>NW_003571059.2:0-195632 GCF_000001405.40 Homo sapiens | reverse complement strand
GAATTCCCCATGAGTCCTGTGACCTCAGCCCACGCGGGGACCTACAGGTGCTACGGCTCATACAGCTCCAACCCCCACCTGCTGTCTCACCCCAGTGAGCCCCTGGAGCTCGTGGTCTCAGGTGAGGGCGCTGACCCCGTCCTCTCTGAGCTCAAAGGCTCAGCTCAGGCCCAGGCCCCCAGGAGAGCTCTCGGCTGGGATGGACCGAGGGAGGCTGTGAGGGAGGCTTAGCCAGAGGGCACCCAGCCCTCAGAGGGGAGGAGGCCAACAGGGGTTCTCCTAGGCGTGGCCACCCGTTCTCCCCTGCCTGGCATGCAGAAGGCACCAGGTGGGCAGAGAGATGGTTCCAGGGAATCCACTGGGCGGAAGCAGGAGAGTGGGAGTGGAAGGGTGCACTCCATGGACGGCCCCCGCCCCTCACCCGCCTCCCGTGCTCCTTCCAGGACACTCTGGAGGCTCCAGCCTCCCACCCACAGGGCCGCCCTCCACACCTGGTGAGTCACTGAGGCCTCGTGGGGAGCGCCGCCTCCCCCAGGGCAGTCTGAGTCTCCCAAAGGATCCCACTCCCCTCCCCTCAAGGACGGGCTTGTGTCCCAGGGGCTCTGAGGCTGGGCTGGTGAAGAGTGGGGGGTCGAGGCAGAGGGAGATGTTGGGGCCCAGCCAGGAGGAGGAGCCGGGCTGATGTGGGGGGCAAGACAGCCCCAGCCTTCACCTCCCTGTCCTGACCCAGGAGGTCCTGAGGACCAGCCCCTTAACCCCCCAGGGTCAGGCCCTCAGAATCGTGAGTGAGGGGCTCTGAGTGGGAGATGGGCGGGGTCCAGGGGAGGCAGGGGTGGGTTCTGTCCTAGGTTCAGGCTCCTCTGGAGGTGGTGATGTGGACAGGCCCCTCCCCTGCCTGGGCCTCAGTTTCTCCAAGTGTAAAGGAGAGAGGCCTGTGGGTGGGAAAGTTCCTTTCAGCTCTGACCCCCAGCTGTGACCTCCTGGGAGAGGAGGCCTCCCAGGGAACCTCCCAGACCCGATTCCACAGGGGCCTGTCCCGTCCCACCTGCAGCAGTGACGGTGACCTGGGGCAGGGGAGGGGAGCAGGGCCGTGGTTCAGGACGGTCAGGCTCTTTCCCTGCAGCTCCGGGTCTCGGCTCTGGTGCAGGAACAAGGGCTGCAGGTCAGACTCCCGGGCTCCCTTCCCAGCTCTGCCGCTTCCTCGCTGGAGGCCTGGGGCAGGCGACTCCCTGCTCTGAGCCTCAGTTTGTGCATCTGTGAAATGGGTTGTACGGGTGGCAATTCCATGTTGCACGACTGCTTGTGAGGGTTGGAGGTCACGAAGGAAAGACCTGGCTCGCGCCTGCACACAGTAGGTGCTCACATCAATGACATCATTCCCACTCCTGACGTCCTCATGTCAAGGTCTGGGAAGATACCTGGAGGTTTTGATTGGGGTCTCGGTGGCCTTCGTCCTGCTGCTCTTCCTCCTCCTCTTCCTCCTCCTCCGACGTCAGCGTCACAGCAAACACAGGACATCTGGTGAGTAGGGAAGCGGGGGACCCATGGGTCGACCGAGGGTGGGCTCAGGGCACCAGCCAGAGGGAACCCAAACACACAGGGGTGTCAGTTTAGAAAACCGGTTCCAGGGGCACGTAATTTCAATACGCATTTACAAACTTCAGTATTCATGGGAGTTTTTTTCTATCTCATAAAATATTTGGAACATCCATGCAGGAATATTTTTAGTTTTCCTTCTTTCCCTCAAGTTGCATGTGTAGAATGGGAGTTCTAATGTTCCCAGGGCTGAGACTCTGTCCATCTTCACCCAGACCAGAGAAAGACTGATTTCCAGCGTCCTGCAGGGGCTGCGGAGACAGAGCCCAAGGACAGGGGCCTGCTGAGGAGGTAATTCTGCCCCAAAGACCACAGACTCCCACCCACCACAGCCCATACACTGCCCCTCACACTCCCATGTCCTCCTCCAGGTCCAGCCCAGCTGCTGACGTCCAGGAAGAAAACCTCTGTAAGAGGAAGAGAGGGGACAAATGGGGGTGCTGGAGAGACAGGAGTCCCAAAATTTCAGTAGCAACAGGGAGGGGCTGGGAAGGGTCTGGGGCTCCGTGGAAGATGGTCTTGCCCCACACTGTGGGACCTCCCTGCATTCGGTGGCCCCATCTGGGAGCAGGGCAGGGGGCCAGCAGGACTGAGAGGTCTCAGAGAACCAGGAGACGAACCCCTTGCTCTGCCCCAGCAGATGCTGCCGTGAAGGACACACAGTCTGAGGACAGGGTGGAGCTGGACAGTCAGGTGAGATCCCGCCCCGTCCCAGGCACCAAAGGCCTCCTGGTGCCAGATCTAATCCTGCAGGACTTCTCTGTCCTCCTTCCCCCGGCTCTCAGCATCGTCACGGTGGACCCCTCCTTGTCCAGCATGCTGCCTCCCGCCTGCTGTGACCTCACTCTCTTCTGCTGTCCTGGGACCTCGTGGGCCTCCTCCCGGGTCCCCTTCCTGCTCCTCATCCTCTGTTTGGCCGTCTGGTTGTTAGAGCTCTCCCCAGGCCTCAGGAGGATGACGAATAAATGAACCACCTCCGTCCCCTGGGCTCCTCTTCATTCATTCATCCAGCGAGTGTTCCCAGGGAGCTCACTGTGGATGGGGCTCCCCATGGGAGCTGCAGACACAGCAGGGAGCAAAGCCGCCCCCGCCTCCTGAGCTCACCTCATGGTGGGAGACAAAATGCAAATAAATGCATCGTGTCCAGGAGTGCAACGTGCTGTAAGGAACATACACCAGGGAAAGGGCAGAGAGTGTGGGGCAGTGGGGCCAGTCTGAATGGAAGGGGAGGGCTGTCTGCTCAGCTGTCATCTGAGAAGCCTGGACAGAGTGGGGCACATGATCCTCTGATAGACGAGCCCCTGCAGGCAGAGGAAACAGCCGTGCAAAGGCCCCCAGGCAGCAGCGAGCTCTTGCAGGAAGGCCTGTGAGGCTGCAGCCAAATGGGCAAGGTCAGAGTGAGGAGCAGAGGCCAGAACCACAGGGAGGGAGCGGCCAGACCCTCCACGGCCTTAGGGCGTCCCTGAGATTCCATCAGGAAAGGGATGTAATCGGATCACCCCGGGAACAGTGAGGAAAATTGACTCCAGGAGGTCAGGGGGACTCAAGGACACCCCCCACCACTGTCTCTCTCCAGCAGAGCCCACACGATGAAGACCCCCAGGCAGTGACGTATGCCCCGGTGAAACACTCCAGTCCTAGGAGAGAAATGGCCTCTCCTCCCTCCTCACTGTCTGGGGAATTCCTGGACACAAAGGACAGACAGGTGGAAGAGGACAGGCAGATGGACACTGAGGTGAGTCCTTTCCTCTCCAGGCCCCCAGGCCTCCCCCACCCCCACCACGTTCCTTACCTCTCACTCTCCCCCGCTGCAGGCTGCTGCATCTGAAGCCTCCCAGGATGTGACCTACGCCCAGCTGCACAGCTTGACCCTTAGACGGAAGGCAACTGAGCCTCCTCCATCCCAGGAAGGGGAACCTCCAGCTGAGCCCAGCATCTACGCCACTCTGGCCATCCACTAGCCCGGGGGGTACGCAGACCCCACACTCAGCAGAAGGAGACTCAGGACTGCTGAAGGCACGGGAGCTGCCCCCAGTGGACACCAGTGAACCCCAGTCAGCCTGGACCCCTAACACAGACCATGAGGAGACGCTGGGAACTTGTGGGACTCACCTGACTCAAAGATGACTAATATCGTCCCATTTTGGAAATAAAGCAACAGACTTCTCAACAATCAATGAGTTAATAACAAAAAAACAAAAAACAAAAACAGACGTAAAGGCCGGGTGTGGTACTCAGGAGGCTGAGTGGGGAGGATTCCTTGAACACAAGAAGTTAAGGCTGCTGAGGCTGCAGTGAGCTATGACTGTGCCACTGCACTCCAGCCTGTGTGACAGAGCGAGACCTTGTCTCTAAAAAAAAAAACAGTGAATGTTTTAAACTGAATGATAATGTAAATATTATACATCGAACTTATGACATGGGAAAATTAAGAAGCATAAATAGGCCGGGCGCGGTGGCTCACGCCTATAATCTCAGCACTTTGGGAGGCTGATGCGGGCGGATCATGAGGTCAGGAGATCGAGACCATCCTGGCTAACACGGTGAAACCCCGTCTCTACTAAAAATACAAAAAAATTAGCCGGGCGTGGTGGCGAGTGCCTATAGTCCCAGCTACTCAGGAGGCTGAGGCAGGAGAATGGCATGAGCCCGGGAGGCAGAGCTTGCAGTGAGCTGAGATCGCACCACTGCACTCCAGCCTGGGCGACAGAGTGAGATTCCGTCTCGAAAAAAAAAAAAAAAGAAAGAAAAAAAATAAAAAAGAAGCATAACCAGGTGCAGTGGCTCACACCTGTAATCCCAATACTTTGGGAGGGCAAGTGGGGAGGATAGCTTGAGCTCAGGAGTTCGAGTCAGTCAGATCAGCATTGTGAGGCCCCATCTCTACAAAAAATAAAACCAGTCCGGCGTGGTGGCACACACCTGTAGTCCCAGCTACTTGAGAGGCTGAGGTGGGAGGATCACTTGGGTACAGGAGGTCGAGGCTGCAATGAGCCGAGATCGCACCACAGCACTTCAGCCTGGACGAGACCCTGTCTCAAAAAAACAAAACAACTAACAAGCCAGTGAAATTATCTGTTGATTAGTGTTTGCATAATACATTTTTCATCCTTCTGCTTTTTTAATGTGATAAAATATAAACAACAGGCCAGGCGCGGGGGTTCATGCCTGTAATCCCAGCACTTTGGGAGGCCAAGGCGGGTGGATCACAAGGTCAGGAGTTCAAGACTAGCCTGGCCAAGATGGTGAAACCCCATCTCTACTAAAAATACAAAAACTGGCCAGGTGTGGTGGCAGGCACCTGTAATCCCAGCTACTAGGGAGGCTGAGGCAGAGAACTGCTTGAACCCAGGAGGCAGTGGTTGCAGTGAACCGAGATCACACCACTGCACTACAGCCTGGGCAACAGAGCAAGACTCTGTCTCAAAAAAAAAAAATTCCAATCTTGTAATCTCTTTTTGATCACTTATATTTAATGTAATCACTGATGACATTACAACCGTATGTCACTTAATGACAGGGATATGTTCTGAGAAAGCCATCATTAAAAAATTTTGGCCAGGCGTGGTGGCTCATGCCTGTAATCCCAGAACTTTGGGAGGCCAAGATGGGTGGATCACCAGAGGTCGGGAATTCGAGACCAGCCTGCTCAACATGGTGAAACCCTGTCTCTACTAAAAATACAAAAATTAGCCGGGCATCGTGGTGCATGCCTGTAATCCCAGCTACTTGGGAAGCTGAGGCAGGAGAATCGCTTGAACCTGGGAGGCGGAGGTTGCAGTGAGCCAAAATCGTGCCATTTCACTCCAGCCTGGGAGACAGAATGAGACTCCATCTCAAAAAAAAGAAAAAAAAAAATTCACCGTCGTGTGAACATCATAGAGTCTACTTACACAAACCTACGTGGTATAACCTACTACATACATAGGCTATACCATCACATATGAAATGTGTAGTGGAGCGAAACATCGTTATGCGGTGCATGACTGTGTTCAGGTGTGCCTTTTTGTTTGTCTCCTCTGCTGTGTGTTGTTTCCCCTTTCCTGCCTACTCTAGGTTTTTAGAAATATTTTGATTTGTTAAAAACTTATGATTCCCCCCTCGCCCGGCCAGCCGCCCCGTCCGGGAGGGAGGTGGGGGGGTCAGCCCCCCGCCAGGCCAGCCGCCCCATCCGGGAGGTGAGGGGCGCCTCTGCCCGGCCGCCCCTACTGGGAAGTGAGGAGCCCCTCTGCCCGGCCGCCACCCCGTCTGGGAGGTGTACCCAACAGCTCATTGAGAACGGGCCATGATGACAATGGCGGTTTTGTGGAATAGAAAGCGGGGAAAGGTGGGGAAAAGATTGAGAAATCGGATGGTTGCGGTGTCTGTGTAGAAAGAGGTAGACATGGGAGACTTTTCATTTTGTTCTGTACTAAGAAAAATTCTTCTGCCTTGGGATCCTGTTGATCTGTGACCTTACCCCCAACCCTGTGCTCTCTGAAACATGTGCTGTGTCCACTCAGGGTTAAATGGATTAAGGGCGGTGCAAGATGTGCTTTGTTGAACAGATGCTTGAAGGCAGCATGCTCGTTAAGAGTCATCACCACTCCCTAATCTCAAGTACCCAGTGACACAAACACTGCGGAAGGCTGCAGGGTCCTCTGCCTAGGAAAACCAGAGACCTTTGTTCACTTGTTTATCTGCTGACCTTCCCTCCACCGTTGTCCTATGACCCTGCCAAATCCCCCTCTGCGAGAAACACCCAAGAATGATCAATAAAAAAAAAAAAAAAAAACTTATGATTCCTTAACTTTTCTATTTAATATTTTTGGACCATGGTTGACCACCAGGTAACTGAAAACACAGAAAGAAAATTACAGATAAAGGGGGACTACTGTATTAGAGTTTTTTAAAAATATATTTTAAATTTTTTTGTAGCAATGGGATCTCACGATGTTGCCCAAACTGGCCTCAAACTTGTGGGCTCAAGAGCCTCCCATCTCCGCCTCCCAAAGTGTTGGGATTACAGGCATGAGCCACTGTGCCCAGCTTAAGAGTTTTTAATTGAAAAATAATAATTGTACATATTTATGGAATACAGAATATTTGATTTTATCTACGTGTGTGTGTGTGGTTTTTTTTTTTTTCGAGATGGAGTTTCACTCTTTTTGCCCAGGCAGGAGTGCAATGGTGCAGTCTCGGCTCACTGCAACCTCCGCTTCCCAGGTTCAAGTGGTTCTCCTGCCTCAGCCTCCCAAGTAGCTGGGACTACATGTGTGCACCACTATGCCCAACATATATATATTTACATATATATATATTTTTTTTTGAGACGGAGTCTCGCTCCATTCTACCTCAGCCTCCCGAGTAGCTGGGATTACAGACACATGCCACCACGCCTGGCTAAGTTTTATATTTTTAGTAGAGACAGGGTTTTGCCAGGCTGGTCTTGAACTCCTGACCTCTTGATCTGCCTGCCTCCCAAAGTGCTGGGATTATAGGCGTGAGCCACCGCACCCGGCCCAACAAATATATTTTTATTGAGATACAACTCTATTTTGTGGCATTTAGTAAATTCACAATATGGTGTAAGCATCACCTCTATCTCATTCCGAAACATTTTTATCATACCGAGAAGGAAACCGAGTTTACATCAAGCAATCACTCCCACCTAATCCCATGCAACAATTAACCTACTTTCTGCCTCTATCGATTGGCCTTCTTTGAATACCTTTTTTTTTTTTTTTTGAGACAGGGACTCACTCTGTCACCCAGGTTGGAGTGCAGTGGTGTGATCTCGGCTCACTGTAACCTCTGCCTCCCAGGCTCAAGCGATCCTGCCACCTGAGCCTCCCAAGTAGCTGGGATCACAGGCACATGCCACCATGCCGGGTGAATTTTTTGTATTTTTGGTAGAGATGGTATTTCACCATGTTGCCCAGGCTGGTCTCAAACTCCTAAACTCAGGCAATCCACCTGCCTTGGCCTCCCAAAGTGCTGGATTACAGGCAATGAGCCACCACACCCAGGCTGGATACTTCTTATAAATGAAATAACGTCATATGTGACCTTTTTTTCCTGACTGCTTTTATCTAGTATATTATCAAGGTTCACACATGTAGCATGTATGAGTACTTCATTCCTTTCTACGGTTGAATAATATTTTGTTGTAAGGATATACCACACTTTCTCTATTCACCAGCTGATAGACATCGCTACAAAAATAAGTAGTGGCTGTGGAGGTGCACGTCTGTAGTCCCAGCCACTCGGGAGCCTGAGGCGGGAGGATCACCTGAGCCACGATGTCAAGGCTGCAGTGAGCTATGATAGTGCCACTGCACTCCAGCCTGGGCAACAGGCCTCATCTTTTAAGCAAAGAAAAAAGAGGCCGAGCATGGTGGCTCATGCCCGTAATCCCAACACTTTGGGAGGCTGAAGCGGGCGGATCACCTGAGGTCAGGAGTTCAAGACCAGCCTGGCCAACATGGTAAAACTCTGTCTTTACTAAAAAATACAAAATTTAGCTGGATATGGTGGCGCGCATCTGTAATCCCAGCTAACTGGGAGATTGAGGCAGGAGAATCGCTGGCACCTGGGAGGTGGAGGCTGCAGTGAGCTGAGATCACGCCACTGCACTCCAGCCTGGGTGACAGAGCAAGACTCTGTCTCAAAAACAAAAAAAAAAAAAAAGAAAAAGAAAAAAGAGGCCGAGCATGATGGCTCATGCCTGTAATCCTAACACTTTGGGGGGCCAAGGCAAGAGGATGATTTAAGGTCAGGAGTTCGAGAATAGCCTGGCCAACATGGTGAAACTCTGTCTCTACTAAAAATACAAAAATTAGCCAGGCGTGGTTGCACGTGCCTGTAATCCAGCTACTTGGGAGGCTGAAGCAGGACAATCACCTGAACCCAGGAGGTGGAGGTTGTAGTGAGCTGGGGTCACGCCACTGCACTCCAGCCTGGGAAACAGAGCAAGACCATGTCTAAAAAAAAAAAAAAAGGGGGAAAGAAAAGAAAGAAAAAAAGAGTGCTACTCATTAACAGGAAAGTTGGCTGGGCGCGATGGCTCACGCCTGTAATCCCAGCACTTTGGGAGGCCGAGGCGGGTGGATCACGAGGTCAGGAGATCGAGACCATCCTGGCTAGCACGGTGAAACCCCGTCTCTACTAAAAATACAAAAGATTAGCCGGGCGTGGTGGCGGGCGCCTGTAGTCCCAGCTACTCGGGAGGCTGAGGCAGGAGAATGGCGTGAACCCGGGAGGCGGAGCTTGCAGTGAGCCGAGATCGCGCCACTGCACTCCAGCCTGGGCGACAGAGCGAGACTCCGTCTCAAAAAAGAAAGTCAGTGAAGGGACCTGTTTGGGAAAACAAAGCCCAGGCTCGAAGGAAGCTTGTGCTTCCCTCTGTGAGCAAGTTAAGTCTTAGAAACATCTCCCCGAGCCTCCTTCTCCCACGCGGGTCGTCTGTCCTGCGGCAGCCCCACTGGTTCCTCCCATCAACCAAGGCAGAGAGTGGAAAAGCTCCTCACACTCTTCTGCTTCACACACAGTGAACAAATCCAAACCTCTCTGCCCACATCCCTCCTCACCCGGCTCCACCCGTGTCCGCTGGTCCATCCCCACAGTCTAAGCTCAGCTGGGGACCGAGGACGCCCTGTCTGTGCACTGCACCAACCTCCCTCCTGGCCCCCTACTGGCTCCCATCCCTACTCCAGTCCATCCCTCTCATCACTTCCGAGGCCTCTTCTGACCATCTTACCTGGCTGTGACCCTCCACTGCTCAAATTCCCCCAACGGGGCTCCATCTTCCAAAAATAAGATGCACGTTCCTGTACTTCATGTTCAAGCCTGTTGATGACCAAACCTGATACACTTTCCAGCTTCACAGGCTATGGCTCCCCCTCTGCCACACCAAACTCATCACAGTTACCCACCCCCTGCCACACACACACAACCTCAGTTATTAAACACGTGTAAGTCTTCTGACGGCCGCTCCCTGAGCCAATCCGGATGTAGCTGACACCTCTGCAGAGCTGGTAGACTATGACAAAGAGAAGCCCTCCTGCCTCGTTCCACTCCACTGTAAACGTATGTGTGTCATAGGTCATGAGGAGTCCACATAAACCACTTAGAATCCTTATCAGCACATTGCCTAGTGGCTGGGCTCACGCTGGAGTGTGGTTATGGTTAACCATTAGTGAAACCCTCCCATATTGCATTCTGTGCAGTGATGGGCTTGTAAAAACAGACATCTGTTTCCACTGTGCTTTCTAAAGATTCCCCGGTTTTTTTTTTTTTTTTTTTGAGATGGAGTCTCACTCTGTCACCTAGGCTGGAGTGCTGTGGCGCAATCTCGGCTCACTGCAACCTCCACCTCCCGGGTTCAAGTGATTCTCCTGCCTCAGCCTCCCGAGTAGCTGGGATTACAGGCGTCCACCACCACACCTGGCTGATTTTTTGTGTCTTTAGTAGAGACGGGGTTTCACCATGTTGGCCAGGCTGGTCTCGAACTCCTGACCTCATAATCCACCCACCTCCGCCTCCCAAAGTGCTGGGATTACAGGTGCAAACCACCGTGCCGGGCCGGATTTTCCATTTTCTTAAACATAGCATCCAATAAATCTTCACGGTGCACAAGTCCCCTGAATGACAAGGTCCCAGCTTCCTTTGGCTCACTCTCAGGTCTGAGAACAGCCCACACTGTTTCTGGTGGAGGACACTCTGCGTGCCACACTCACTGTTCACGTCTTGGTCTCTCCATCCCCCAGAAGGACCCCTCACTCCCATGACAGGTGTACGCTGCTCACCTGCTATGAGCATGTTTTCCTCCTTTCCTACAACTTGTCGAAACCGGAGCAGAATTACCTCCTATCTAAACATGGGTAATGTGTCATTAACCCAGGCTCTGTGAGTCCAGCAGGAATCCTATCAGCTTCACCCACGACTCCCCTCCTCCTGGCAGCATGCCTGGATGTGGTAACCACTGAATAAACATCGCCTGATCGCAAGGCTCATGAAAGAAAAGATGCATTACAGAGCTCAGGACATGGAAGGGGCTTGCCTCTAGAATTAGAACAGTGACTGGGCTGTGTCCTAAGGCCCTGCCCTCTCTGGCCTCAGCCTCATGTGCTAGAACAAGGGTCACCCCTGGATGAGAGTTGGGTGAGGTGGAAGCAGGCAGAGTATGGGGAAGTCAAATTTTGACTCAAATGTGGTCTGAAAGGCCCCCAGAGCCTGCTGTCCCCTCAGCCCCATCCTTCAGGGGGAGCAGAGCGAGGCCCTGGGGAAGGGGCTGTTCCCCTCCTGCAAGGCCACTGGTGAGAACACATGACCTGTAACACAGAGCCCGGGGCTCCTTATACCAGCACACCCATCTGCCCTCCAGGCTCTGTGGCTCAATGGTCTAATTCATCTGCACTGCTGGGGACCGTGACAGGCAGGGCCACAACCCCCACCCTCATTGCCCATCTCCCTGCTGTGTGTCCAGGGAAGCCTTAGGTGGACACGGGGTGGTCAGTGACCCCGACCTCTTGGGCCAGAAGCACAAGGCAGAAGGCATGGAGTTGAGACCGGTGAGAGCTCTCCCTGCAGGCCCCAGCGGGCCCCAGAGAGTACGCATCCCCTAAATACCAGTCGCCTCATCTCAGGGGCGTCCAGGCAGCCCTCAGCCCTCCCTCTCAGCACAGCCGGGATCGCCGGTGCTCTCTGGAGACAGCCTGACCCCTCAGCATCACTCAGAGGCCGGTTTTGACAGCTCTGCATTGACCAGGACAAGGGGCTCCCAGCCCGCCAGCGCCTAGATGGGCAGCACCTCCTGGACGTCCCCCTGGGCCATGCGAGCCACCCCCCTGGGGGCCAGCACAGATGCTGCGGTGGACACAATGCCTCCTGCCCAAGGTCGGTCCCCCGTCGCCCCCACCCAACATCCTGGTTGCAAGTGAGGGGCCCCTACCCAGACCCCATCCCGTTCTCTGCTCTGGACCCTGGGCTCAGGGTCGAGAGAGAGAATGATACAGGGATGTGGTCCAAGGAGATCACCAAGAAAGGGAGAGCAAGAGGCCCGGAGATTAAACAGACCCACGCAGGCCAGGCACTGTGGCTCACACCTGTCATCCTAGCGCTTTGGGAGGCGAGTGGATTGCTTGAGGCCAAGGGTTTTAGATCAGCCGGGGCAAC
The DNA here is from genome assembly GCF_000001405.40 of Homo sapiens. Classification (NCBI taxonomy): domain Eukaryota; kingdom Metazoa; phylum Chordata; class Mammalia; order Primates; family Hominidae; genus Homo; species Homo sapiens. Next base: position 183,881 of record NW_003571059.2, on the reverse strand, counting down.
ACATTGAGACTCCATCTCTACAAATTCTTGAGATGGAGTCTCCCTCTGTTGCCCCGCTCGCTGCCTCTGTAGACAGAGCCCTGAAGACCCTTTTCCTTTCCAAGCCCGTAGGCTTCTCCCCAGAACCGCATACCTCAACTCCCACTCTCCCCTCCCTCCAGGCTGCCGTGGAGCTCCGCAATTGTGAGCTACACCCAGGTGAGCCACCACCTCTCAGACCAGAGACAACTGCAGTCTCTTCCTCCCAGGGGAGCTCCCAGGAGCCCAGTGAGTACGCTGCCCCGGCCATCCACTAGCCCAGACCCCACGCTCCAAGGAAGGAGACCACAGTGAGCCCAGATGGTGCAGCAGCTGGCCCCATGGACACAAGACCACCGTCATTTCCCAAGTAGCAACGCTGAGGGAAGGAAGGGCCAACCACCTAGCTTGAGTAAGCCGCAATGGACTTCTCCACGTGGTTTACAGTAACTTAGCTGTGTTCCAGAACTGTCCCTGCCCTGACCTCAAACCCTGAAGGCCTCCAGATAAGGACCCAATCAACTACAGCCTGCAGCCTGAGGGGGTTGCACAATTTCAGGTTTCTCACTTCCTCAGAAACCAAACCCCTTCCCAACACAGATGATCAACAAGGCTGAGAAAAGGGAAGCCTGCCAACCTCTTGACCGTGAGTCCACAGAAGCACTGAACGCGGAGAGGAGGAACAGACTTCCCTCAACGCCCCTTCTCCTACGCTAACCCACTTCCCCTACATGTGAAGACAAAACTGGGAACTTGCCCAACATCAACCGCATCACAAGCTTTGAAACTAGCAAGCAAATTCTGTGAAGTGTTCCCCAACAATCACCAACAGTTCACCTTCCCCAGCAACCCGTCAGCCTCTGGTCAGCTCCCGTCCCACCTGTCTCTTGCCTGGCGGGGTCAGGGTCCCAGGGCCAGCAGGCAGGGAAGGCCCCCACCTCCACTCGGCGCCTGCCCTGCCTAGCAATGACCGGCTCCCTCCCACCCCTATATGCAAACACCGGCTTACTTGGAATTTCCTTCTGGTTTTGACACAGTTTTTCCAAAAATACCACTCGTCTCTCCCCTGATGACAGAAGTTTCTGGTAAAGATGTGTGTTCACTACTGTAGAATAGTACTGAGAGGCCAGGGACCACTAGCTGGTAGGCACTCCCAAGTGAGTGAGCCTCCCAGGGAAGGCTGCATGTTTAGAGCAGGGGAAAGAGTCAAGGATGAGAGACCCCCACACACCAATTGTAAAGCGCTGATCCTGTTTATTTGGCAGGAAAACGAGACAATCCAGCAGCCCAGGAGGGACAGGTGGACTTAATCCTCCTCCTCGTCGTCTCCAGCCCCAGCCCCACCCTGGCCCTTCTTGGCATTCTTCCTCTTCACGCGGCCCGGGCGGCCACCCCCGTAGGGAGAGCGCAGAGAGAAGTCGATGTGCTTCTGGGAATCCAGGCGGACAATGAAGGACGGGATGTTCACCACCTGCTTGCGGACCCTGGAAGAAGCGACAAGGTGAGGTGGACTGGAGGAGAAACGGACGCTAACCCCAGCTACCGCACCACTCTTTCCTCTCCACCCACCCCGTGAGGCCGCCACGGCTGCAGACACCAAGGCGCTGCAGGAAGGGTGCACCTGATCCTACGTGCGCCCTCCGGGGTTTTAGGGTATCACCTTAATCCCCAAAAATGCTTCAGATGACTTTCTCAACCCCATTTTATAGGAGAAATCTGAAAGTATCCCACCTAAGACCACAAAGCAAATGAGATGGCCATGTGAGAGCCCCCAAGTTCCGAGTCTGAAATATCGTGAACCCCACACCTGACACTGAGCTGTATTACCACGTGCAGCAGCAATGCCCACAATAACACAGCAACCCGAGGCTACGTCTCCGACGAAAGCATTGACACACAAGGCTCTGCCTACGGCTCACAGGGTTAGTGAAGGGCTGGGGCGAAGATTCTAAACGCAAACATCTTGCCCTCTTTCTGTACAGCTCCTCCCCCTCAATGGTGCCACATTACAGAAAGGGCACACTGAGTACCCAGAACGCAGTCATGGATCGGGGTCTGGAATCAACTTCACAAGCGAGCCAGGAGACAGCTGAACCCACCACCCAAGCGAGGTGAGGCTGGTTCTCTCCCTCCACTGGGGACACCAAGAGCTGTTACCTGTCCAGCTGCCCACATGCCTGGCAGAGGCCTTCACAAGGTGTACGGCTAGAGCCGCAGTGACCCTTGCGCTGGGCTATTGGGGCAAGAGGCTGCCCCAGCTCCCTGGTGAGCTGTGTGCAAGGGTGAATCTGTACCCTCTGGGTGAGTTCACACCCATCACCTCCGAGGGCTGCATAGGAGATAGGGACAGCAGGCTTAGTGAGGGCAACCATCAGAGGGGCAGGTGGAGGAAGATTCAGGTGCCCATCCGAGGTGGTACCTGATATGGCGCTGGCGGATCAGCACGCGAGCGTGGTGGATGGACTTGGCCAAGCCCAGCTTGAAGACCTGGGTCTGCAGGCGTCTCTCTAAGAAATCCTCTATCTTCAGGCCCAGGATGTAATCCAGCTTCATCTTGCCCTCATCCAGCACCCCAATGCGGACCAGCCGCCGCAGCAGGGCGTTGCCTGGGAAGAGTGGGAGGAAACACTGATTCCGCCTTCTGACCTCAGGCTTCTTGGGTTCAAATCCTGGCTCCGCCTCTTGGTAGCTCCATGCCGCGGCGGTGAGGCACAAGTAGTACAGCGCCATCACCGTGACCCATGTCACTGTCAAAACCACCCTACGGGCTGGGAGTGGTGGCTCACACCTGTAATCCCAGCACTTCGGGAGTCCGAGACGGATCACTTGAGGTCAGGAGTTTGAGAGACCAGCCCGGCCAACATGGCGAAAGCCCGTCTCCACTAAGATTACGAAAAATTAGCCAGGCCGTTGGCGCACTGCCTGTAATCCCAGCTATTCAGGAGGCTGAGGAAGGAAAACTGCTTGAACCCAGGAGGCGGAGGTTGCAGTGACCTGAGATGGGGCCACTGCACTCCAGCCTGGGCGACAGAGTGAGGCCCTGTCACAAAACAAAACAATACAAAAAACCAAACTACCCTATGGTTGTCAGGTCATCATTCATAGTAAACTGCAGATGACAGGAGGGCAAAATACACCTGCCTCCTCATCTGAGAGCATACATCCCTCGCTCCACATTCTTAGCAAGAGTAAAGGAAATCACCTCCTTACAAGGACTCAGTCTGCAAAAGACCAAATGCAGCTGCTATTAAGCTACTACCACCGTAACAAAGCACAGTGCTGAAGAGTTCATATCCTCAGCCCAGAAAGCTCTTCTGATTAAGCAGATGTGAGATTGAATCACATTCCGTGCCATAAATAGCAGTATCTACATCTTTTAAGGAGAGAAAAGTAATTTCTAACACTAGAATTTTTCCAGCTAAGTACATGTCATTCATTTTACTATTCTGTACAAAATTTTCCACCAAAAATAGATCTAGTATGTATATAACCTAACAATGCACTGCATAAAATATCCAACAGATGCCCTACTACACCTTTCTTCCAACCCCAGGCTCAGGACGGCTTGCTCCTTACCCTGTCCAAAGCCATGGCTTCTAGCTAATACTCTGGACTGCCCTTGCCCACAGCCCCAGGGCCCTGGGGGCAAACGCCATCCCCTAGGCTCCCGCTCACTGCTATAATCCCACACGCCTTCAGCAAATCAACTGCCCCTTGACTGGGGTAAACACCTCAACCTTTTTTCCTTATGTGCACTTTTATAAAAAGTGGCTCTTACTAGTTACAGCAAACCATTCAAGCAAGCTTTCATAAATAGATCTACATGCATCAGGCACTTCTGATATTCCTGGCACTGTTACCCTCCAAGCAAAGTTTGAAAGAAAGCTAGCTCACTTTGTGAGGACCCAAAGTTTTCCCAGTAGGGAGCAGTTACAGGTAGGGAGAATCAAAATGGAAACACCAGCTGTGTGCATTTCCAGCATCCTATGTCATACTATGGCTTCAATTTTTGTTCTTTTTTAACTCAACATCAGAGGATATTTAAACACCTGAATATCAAAATACAAAAACATGTCCAAAAGGCAATGAAAATGAGTTTGGGATCATTTACCTCTTTGGACACTTCACGCCTTTTTGTCTTTACATTAGAAAATGGAAACTTAAGCCACGCACAGTCCCTTATGCCTGGCCTATAAACCCAATATTTTGGGAGGCTGAGGCAGGAGGATCAGTTGAGTCCAGAAGTTTGAAACTAGCCTCGGCAACACAGTGAGACCGCATTTGTACCAAAACAAACAAAAAAGTAAAACTAAATTAGCTGGGCATGGTGGTACATGGTGGATTGTGGTCCCAGCTACTAGAGCTGAGGAGGATCACTTAAGCACAGGAGGTCCAGGCTGCAGTGAGCCACGACCATGCCACTGTGCTCCAGCCCGGGAGACAAAGTGAGATCGTCACCATTAGGCAAAACAAAGGCATGATTTTAAAAAAATGTTTCACATTTATTATCATTTTTGAGACAGAGTTTCGCTCTCGTTGCCCAGGCTGGAGTGCAATGGCGTGATCTCGGCTCACTGCAAACTCCGCCTCCTGGGATTCTCCTGCCTCAGCCTGGGATTACAGGCATGCGCCACCACGCCCCGCTAATTTTGTATTTTTTCAGTAGAGACTAAGGGGTTTCTCCACTTTGGTCAGGCTAGTCTCAAACTCCCGACCTCGGGTGATCCGCCTGCCTCTGCCTCCCAAAGTGCTGGGATTACAGGCATGAGCCACTGCACTCAGGCCCACATTTATTGAACCATCTATCTCCTGAAAAAGAACAGGAGAGTCAGCCACAGGCAAAACCTTTAAGTATGAAGACAATAGTTTTCAACAGCACAATAAACCTTACACCTTCAACAAAAGCATGTCCTACTGCTGAGGCTCCACTGGGCCAATGCACCAAGAGAATTTAAAATGCTTTAAAAATGCAAACCAGGGAGGACCTCAGTGGGAAACAGGTCCTTGTCATCATACAAGGCAGTTAGGTATTACAATGCCTTCATTTCTGATCTGAAAAATGGACATGACTCCTACATTTCTTCACAGTTGTGCTGGGGGGTGGGGGGGGAGTTCGTGTTGTTTTGTGTCTCGCTGTCACCCAGTGCAGTGCCGCGGATCTCGGCTCACTGCAGTCTCTGTCTCCCAGGTTCAATCAATTCTCCTGCCTCAGCCTCCCGAGTAGCTGGGATTATAGGCACACCACCATGCTCGGCTAATTTTTGTATTTTTCGTAGAGATGGAATTTCACCACGTTGGCCAGGCTGGTCTCTGACTTGAGGTCTCCTGACCTCAAGTGATCCGACCACCTCGGTCTCCCAAAGTGCTGGGATTACAGGCATGAGCCACCACGCCTGGCCTCTATCTGTTGATTATTAACTGCCAGCCAAATGTTGGCGGCTGTTCAGTCTTAACAGACGAGACTCAGAATCTCGCTAGTCACACATCTTAGTGGGAAAGGCTGGATCTGAATCAAGGCAGGATTACACCAAAGAGCAAACATCCAAGCTCCTCCTTCCTGTCCCTGACTAGGCTAGATGGCTTCATTTACTAGAAAGTGTACTCACCTGAACAACTGTGTACCCCTTGGGAATTTTCACTTCTGCCTTGGAAAACCACAAATAACCCTCAGACACCTGCACCGCTTTCTCACATGACTGTAAGTTTCATTGCAATTAGGATCTATGTCCAGAAAGTCCTCCCTAAAACCAGAACCAGCTATAGCCCACTCCCCACAGAACCCTGGGATGAATTCCCACCCAGCATCAGTATCTATGGGGGAGGGATCTCCAGCACTTTCATGAGATTATCAACGGGGTCTACAAATTGACGAAAAGAATGAAAGGGTCAGGTGCGGTGGCTTACACCTGTAACCCCAGCACTTTGGAAAGCTGAGGTGGATGGATCACTTGAGGTTAGGAGTTGGAAACCATCCTGGTCAACACTGCAAGATCCTGTGCCTATTTAAAGAAAAAGCTTCTAACATCTGCAAGCCTGGGACAAACTGTGATAATCTGTAGCTAAACATGCGCCAGGACTTTCTCAACGCCTAACATGGATGACCACTCTCATGCCTAACAGTCAGGGCTCAGGTGTAGAGACTGCTTTTCACCATAAATCATGACTACCCAAACTCAGGCAAAAGCAGCGTCTCAGGATATACAAATGCCAATCTTGGTCATGCCAATCTGCTGTAGAAAGCACTCCAATAACACCGCATCTCAGAGTAGATTTTAAAACAAGATGGTTAAGATGGTACATTTTCAATTTAATGTGTATTTCACCACAATTAGTAAAGTAAGCCTAAGTCTATGTGATCTGCATGCCCTCCTAAAGTCATCACCTGAAATGCTGTTCCCTGAGACATTTTACAGGTTCTCTCCTGTTCAGGCCTTTGCTAAATACCACCTAAATGTCCTTGACCAGCTTAAAAAAACAAGCACCAGCCTGGACAACATGGTGAAAACCCATCTCCACTAATAATAGAAAATTAGCCAGGCTTGGTGGCCCATGCCTGTGATTCCAGCTACTTAGGAGGCTAAGACAGGAGAATCGCTTGAACTCTGGAGGCGGAGTTTGCAGTGAGCCAAGATTGCGACAACTACACTCCAGCATGGGCAATGGAGCGAGACTCCGTCTCAAAAGTAAAATTAGCCAGGTGTGGTGGCGTGCGCCTGTCTGTAGTCCCAGCTACTTGGGAGGCTAAGATAGGAGAATTGTTTGAACCCAGGAGGCGGGGGTTGCAGTAAGCCGAAATGGCGCCACGGCACTCCAGCCTGGGCAACAGAGCAAGACTCCGTCTCAAAAGACTAAATAAAACGAGAAAACTTAATTAAAAAAACAATAAACCAAGCAAATGTGCAAACCCTGTTATCACCATCACTTAGCCCAGAAATTCCACTTCATAGTCTACTCTCATCCACTAGCAAACAGGCCACATAAACAGAATATAAAGATATAGACGGGTGCCCAGGTGTGCCAGGCCTATCTTTAGCTCTGGTCATTACTAAACTGAAGGTCCAATAACTGGGCAAAAAAGCCACACACCTAAGAAACAGGGCAAAGACTGATCCAGATACACTTTTCCTACTTCACAAGTGCCACTAAAAGTTAGAAGGCTGGTTCCATTTATCCAATGACACAACTCTCATCACTGGAACAGAGGCAACAGAAGGGAGAATGAACCTCACAAGCCCTGCACCCCATCCCTCTGCTGTGGACTCCCATACGCACCTTCGAACAGACGCCGTGGGTCCTTCTCATCAAGCGTCAGCAGTTCCCGGGCGGCCTTGCGGATCTTGGCCAGGGTAAATTTGACCCTCCAGACCTCACGTTTGTTCCGGAGCCCATACTCGCCTGGTGGGGAGAAGGGGGTGGACAAGTGTAGTCCCACGTACTGGCACAACAACTAGACTGGCAGCTTTGGAATCACAAAACCTTCCTAAACCACGAATAGTACCAAATTTAGGGGACGGACTAGATAGAGTACATGGGCACCTTCATCCACGTGCTAACCGCCTCCCGGAAGCCGAACCACTTCCCGGAAGCCTTGGCCACTCACCGATCAGCTTCAGCTCTTGGTCGAGACGAGATTTCTCGAAGGGTCTCCGCGGGGTCACATAAGTTTTGCGACAAACCCAGCTCCGGGCCACTGGCATGTTGGCTCCGCTTCCCCGTCTGCGCCTGCGCGGGAGAGAAGTGTGAGCGTAAGGGCTCCAAACGGCGCCTGCGCAGTCCCACAACTACGCCAAAACCTCGCGGAGCCCAGATCCGATCTCGCGAGAATAACCTCCAACGCTCTCATAGTCAGTATCTGCCCCCACAACCGTGCTGCACTCCCGTTCAACCACCCTGCTCTGTTTCCTAACGTCTTTAGCTTACTCATGGAAACTCGGAAGGCCCGGGCCACCATCCAACCCAAACCCTAGAGAAAAAGCACACCGCCGCACCTCACCTAAGCAAACCACCCGGTCACTGAGAAAGAGGCGCGCAAGCGCCACGGCTGCGCTCTTATAGTAACGCCGGCGTCTCGTGACGTTTTCACGCACCACGCACGTCAGAGCCAATCAGAAGAGGCGTTGGCTGGCTGAGAAGCAGTGGAGACGTGAGGCTGGGCTAGAGCGGCGTGCTAACCTGGGAGGACTAGGTTTTTTCCGGCCAGGGAGTGGAAACCTGAGAAGTAGGGAGAACCTTCCTTCTCCGCCCCTGGACGGTGGTTTTTCTTTTTCTTTCTGAGACAGGGTCTCGCTCCGTCGCCCAGGCTGGAGTGCAGTGGCGTGATTTCGGCTCACTGAGGCCCCGACCAACCTCTCGGGCTCGAGCGATCCTCCCACCTCCTCCCCAGTAGCTGGGATTACAGGCACACGCCACGACGCCCGGGTAGCATTTTTTTTTTTTTAACAGTCGGCGTCTTGCCATGTTGCCCAGGCTGGTCTTGAACTCCCGGCCTCGAGAGAGCCTCCCGCCGTGGCCCCCCCAAAGTGCTGGGATTACAGGCGTGAGCCACCGCGCCCAGCCGAGATTATTTCTGTCACTAACAATAATGTGGCATTCTGGAACGCTATGTGCCACATACTGTTCTAAGAATTTTAAATGTATTTACTCAATCTTCAATACATACTTACAGAGCACTCTCAGAGAAGTTGCCCCCCCACCCATGGTACTATTATTATCAATAGCCACTTAAGGGGTATTAGTACTATTATCAGTAATTTATTTTATTTTTGAGACGGAGTTTTTCGCTCTCGTCACCCAGGCTGGAGTGCAGTGGTGCGATCTCGGCTCACTGCAACCTCCGCTTCCCGGGTTCAATCGATTCTCGTGCCTCAGCCTCCCGAGAAGCTGGGACTACAGGCGCCCACCACCATGCCCGGCTAATTTTTAAATTTTTAGTAGAGACGGGGTTTTGAACTCCTGGTCTCCAACGCCTGACCTCAAGTGATCCACCCGCCTCAGCCTCCCAAAGTGCTAAGATTACAGGTGTGAGCCACCGCGCCTGACCTAGAGTTCTCTTTTTATATATAGTCTGGTTATTGTCTGTCTGTACACCCATCTCTCCACTCCGAATGCGATGGTCTGTCTCCACAGCTCGTGTTCTTCAGTTGTCTTCCCTACGCTGCTGCCTCGGCAGTCACTATCTCCTCAGGAAGCAGTCCCACCCGCCCCTTTCTCTTCCACGGCATCCACACCATCCGGATGCCTGGATTCAAATGCCACGTCACCACTTGCCAGCTGCAGTGCCTTCGACAAGTTTCTCAATCACTCTGTGCCTCAGCGTCCTCCTCTGTAAAACGGCGAATGATGGTAGCGCCTACCTCATAAGCTTGTGAGGATTAAGTGAGAGTCTATCCAGTGTTGAGGAGAGTGGCATAAATAAAGCGCCTAGTGGTAGCTACCATCGTCATTATTGTCATCTGCATTGTACTTCCATATCTTACAAACTACCTTGTTCAGTTTTATGGGTTTTTTGTTTGTTTGTTTTGTTGTTTTGAGACGGGGTTTTGCCATATTGCCCAGGCTGGTCTTGAACTCCTGGGCTCAAGTGATCCACTCGCCTCAGCCTCCCCAAGTGCTGGGATTACAGGTGTAAGCCACCATGCCTGGCCAAATTTTATGCATTTTTGTATCTTGAACACGCGTATATTATTCATCTGGAAGGGGGAAACGTGGAAGGAAAAAACTTCCATAAGTTTTCACTCCCTTCAGGATGAAGTCCAAGCTCCACAAATTCCGGGTGCCTCGTGATTACAGAGATGGTTTTATAATGGTGGTTGAACCTGTAGGTTCTCAAGTCTTAAAAAAGATCTGCGTTTGAACCTCAGCAGTCACTGACGAGCTCTTGATCTTAGGCAAATTAGCCTCTTCAAGAGTGCTAAATGGGAGAAAGTAACAGGACTTTCCTCATAGGGTTTGATGATTTAGAGTAAAAAAAAAAAAAAAAGAAAAGAAAACCAGCACAGAGTCTTGTGTACTGAAGGTGCTTAATATCTTAACACAGCTGACTCTGTACAGTCTGGGGGCGAGGGGCACTGACCCCCAGCTCAGCCGAAAACCTCCATATAGGCTGGGCGCGGTGCCTCACGCCTGTAATCCCAGCACTATGTGGAAGGCCAAGGCCGGCGGATCAACTGAGGTCAGGAGTTCGAGACCAGCCTGGCCAACATGACAAAACCTGGTCTCTACTAAAAATACAAAAATTAGGCAGGCGTGGTGGCAGGTGCCTGTAATCCCAGCTACTTAGGAGGTTGAGGCAAGAGCATCGCTTGAACCCAGGACGTGGAGATTGCAGTGAGCCGAGATCGCACCACTGCACTCCATCCTGGGCGACAGAGCAAGACTGCCTCAAAAAAAAAAAAAAAAAAATCAAGAAAGAAAATCTGCATATAACTTTTGACTTCCCCAAAACTTAACTACTAGGCCAGGCACCGTGGCTCACACCTGTAACCCCAGGTGGGATTTGGGAAGCTGAGGTGGGCAGAGCACTTGAGCCCAGGAGTTCAAGACCAGCCTGGGCAACACGGCAAAACCCAGACTCTACAGAAAACAGAAAAATTAACTGGGTGTGGTGGTGTGTGCCCGTAGTTCCAGCTACTTGGGAGGCTGTGGTGGGAGGACTGCTTGAGTCAAGGAGGTTGAGGCAGCAGCGAACTAAGATCATGCCCCTGCACCCCAGCCCAGCTGGCAGAGCAAGACACTGTCTCAGGATTTAAAAAAAACATTACTCGTAGTTGACTGGAAGCCTTACCAATAACATAGTCAATTAACACATATTTTATACGCTATATGTATTATATTCTGTATTCCTATGATGAATTAAGCTAGAGAAAAGAAAATATTGGCCGGGCGTGATGGCTCATGCCTGTTACCCCAGCACTTTGGGAGGCTAAGGCGGGCGGATCACCAGGTCAGGAGATCGAGACCATCCTGGCTAACACGGTGAAACCCCATCTCTACTAAAAATACAAAAAATTTGCCGGGCGTGGTGGCAGGCACCTGTAGTCCCAGCTACCGGGGAGGCTGAGGCAGGAGAATGGCGTGAACCCGGGAGGCGGAGCTTGCAGTGAGCTAAGATCGCGCCACTGCACTCCAGCTTGGGTGACAGAGCGAGACTTCGTCTCAAAAAAAAAAAAAAAAGAAAATATTAAGAAAATTCTAAAAAAGAGAAAATATATTTACTATTCATTAAGTGGAAGTGGATCATCATAAAGGTCTTCATCCTTGTCTTCATTCTGAGTAGGCAGAGGTGCAGAAAGAAGAGGAGGGTTTGGTCTTGCTGTCTCAGGGTGCCAGAGGTGGAGGAGGTAAAAGGCAAAGCAGGAGAGGCAGGCATGCTCTGTGTAACCTTTACTTTTTTCAATCTGCATAAAAGTGGACCCGAGCAGTTCAGACCCATGTTGCTCAAGGGTCAACTGATGAGATCTGGCCTCACCCTGATCCTCTTCAGAAGCATGGTCCAGTCATATGGCACCAGGCCCTCTTCCACAAACCCCTCATGCTTCCTCCTCTCTCTCTCTCACTCAGGCTGGAGCCCTCTAGCCCTTCCTCTCTGAAAGGAGCACGGGTAATATAAGAGGAACCCTTGGTTTCCATCATGGGTTGCCAAGGACCAGCTGGGCATGCTTGGGGAGCTGAATTCCTTTCCTTTTGTACAAGTGTAATAAAATCTAATTATGCCCCATCCATAGGACGCAAAACCATGTAGCTGTTGGCAAAAATGAGACAAGCCTGGGCATATCCAATAAGCAAGATGCAGAAGTGTGCATAGTATGCTACAATTTTCATTAATAAAAATGACCTTAACGTATGTATATTTATTTAAAATATGCTTAGAAAGTCATGTAGGAGAAATTATAATTTCCAAATTGTCTCAGCCCTGATTTAAAAATTATAGTTTAAGCCACTCATTTATTTAGCAACAATGTATTGACTGCTGTGTGCCAGGAACTGTTCTTGGACCTGGGGATACTGCATGAACAAGGGTAAATAAAACAAAAACCAAAACCAAAACCTTGTCCTTAACTAGAAACAAATGCCAATCACCTGATGAATGGATAAATAAAATGGGGTTATGTCCATACAATGGAATATCCAGCAGTAAAGAGGAACAAAGCTGGCCGGGCACGGTGGCTCATGTCTATAATCCTAGCACTTTGGGAGGCTGAGGTGGGCGGATTGCCTGAGCTCAGGAGTTCGAGCCTGGGCAATTATGGTGAAACCCTGTCTCTACTAAAATACAAAAAATTAGCCTGACGTGGTGGCAGGCGCCTGTAATCCCAGGTACTTGGGAGGCTGAGGTGGGAGAATCGCTTGAACCCACTTGAACCCAGGAGGCAGAGGCTGCAGTGGGCCGAGATTGTGCCACTGCACTCCAGCCTGGGCAACAGAGCAAGACTCTGTCTCAAAAATAAAAAAAATAAATAATAATAATAATAATAAGCAAGGAAGAGAATGCACATGGCCAGTTCATGAGGAAGCTGCAAAGTAGGACCTTTGAGTTTTACTCTGAGATGGAAAACTCCAGGAAAGTTTTAGACAGAGCTGTGACATGGTCTGACTTATCTTTTAATATGATGATTCTGGCCGGGCGCGGTGGCTCACGCCTGTAACCCCAGCACTTTGGGAGGCCGAGGCGGGTGGATCACAAGGTCAGGAGATCGAGACCATCCTGGCTAACATGGTGAAACCCCGTCTCTACTAAAAATACAAAAAATTAGCCAGGTGAGGTGGCGGGCGCCTGTAGTCCCGGCTACTAGGGAGGCTGAGGCAGGAGAATGGCGTGAATCCGGGAGGCGGAGCTTGCAGTGAGCAGAGATCGCGCCACTGCACTCCAGCCTGGGCGACAGCGAGACTCCGCCTCAAAAAAAAAAAAAAAAAAAAAAACAAAAAAAAAAACGATGATTCTGGCTGCTCTGTTGAAAACAGACAACAGAGGGGCAAGAATGGAAGGCAGGGGATGAGTTAGGAAGCTATCAATATCAAATGAGCCATGGTTTGGTTTTTCTAAGATACTGGCAGTGAAGGTGGAGGGTGGGGCCTAACTGTGGATCCACAGTGCTTTGAACATGGCACCTATAGAATTTGTTGACTGACAACATGGGGGGACACCAGTCACAAAAGTTTTTTTTTGTTTGTTTGTTTTAAATAGAGATGAGATGAGGTCTCACTATGTTCAGCCAAGGCTGGTCTCAAACTCCTGAGCTCAGCGGCTCAACTGATCTTCCCACCTTGGCCTCCCAAAGTGCTAGGATTACAGGTCTGAGCCACCACATCTGGCCACAGGAGTTTTAAATGAGGAACTTTTCAGAGGAGAGACTCATGACAGAGGGAATGAGACTTCTAAGTACTTTGTTGTAGAGAGGAGAAAGGGTGGAGAATAGACTTACAAAGCCAATTATGAAGCAGGCACAAAGAGAGTATTGGCCAGACAGGGGTTAGCGTCATTTTTTTTCTTTTCTTTTTATTTTTTTGAGATGGAGTTTAGCTCTTGTTGCCCAGGCTGGAGTGTAGTAGTGCGATCTTGGCTCACTGCAACCTCTGCCTCCTGGATTCAAGTGATTCTCCTGCCTTAGGCTCCTGAGTAGCTAGGAGTACAGGCGCATGCCACCACGCCCGGCTAATTTTTTTTTTTGTATTTTTAGTAGAGATGGGGTTTCACCATATTGGCCAGGCTGATCTCAAACTCATCTGCCCACCTCAGCCTCCCAAAGTGCTGGGATTACAGGTGTGAGCCACCACGCCTGGCCCAGTGTCATATTTTAAATTAATCTAAACTTACAGGAAATTGAGATTCTATGAAGTCTGTTTACTGGGAATGGCAAGAAAGAGGGGAGATGGGAGTCTCTCTAAACCTATTCTGGTTCCAGAGGCTGCTCAATTCACACAAAAAAGAGAAAGAATGAAACATGGGGGGAAGAAATGGAAGAACTAGAGGTGGAGACTTTCAGCCCCAGAATTTTACCATGTGGAAGTTTTTGTTTGTTTTTGTTTTTTTGAGACAGTGTCTAGCTCTGTCGCCCAGACTGGAGTGCAGTGGCGTGACCTTGGCTCACTGCAACCTCCACCTCCCAGATTCAAGTGATTCTCCTGCCTCAGCCTCCGGAGTAGCTAGGATTACAGGCGCCCGCCACCACGCCCGGCTAATTTTTGTATTTTTCATAGAGGCGGGCCATGTTGGCCAGGATGCTCTGGAACTCCTGACCTCATGATCCGCCCGCCTTGGTCTCCCAAAGTGCTGGGATTACAAGCATAAGCCACCACGCCCAGACTCACCATGTGAATGTATTACACTGACAAAATAAACGTGACAAAATAAAACTGCACATTGATAAGATAAAGGTGTAATTATTGGAATAGTGGTAGTGTTCTAGTACTTTCTTAAGCAAAAACATGGGTAAATGATTTCATAAGTGCAAATTTTTTACAAATACATGTGTTTTAGCTTTTATAAAAATTGCAGAATATAACACATCCAAAAAAGAGTCTAAAATATAAATATACAGTATCAAAAAAATTCTCCACCACTACCCAGGCCATGAAAAAGCAGAACGCCTTCCAGAGTCCTTCCTTTCTCCCCAGGCTCTGAACTCCTAAAATTACAATACTCATTTCCTTTCATAATATATATATATATACACACACATATATATACATACATGTGTGTATATTTACATATATACACACACACATATATATATTTTTTGAGACAGGTTCTTGCTCTGTCTCCCAGGCTGGAGGGCAGTGGTGCAATCACAGCTCACAGCAGCCTCAACTTCCCAGGCTCAAGGGATCCCTGGCTAATTTTTTTTTAAATTATTTTTTGTAGAGACTGGGTATTACAATGTTGCCAGAGCTGGTCTCAAACTCCTGGGCTCAAGCGATCCCCCTGCCTTGGCCTCCAAAAGTTCTGTGGGATTACAGGTGTGGGTCATCGTGCCCAGCCTATATTTTTATTTATAACGTTTGTATGCATCTGGGAAATTTCATAGAAATCTTTTCAAGAGGAAGTTTAGTGAGGTAGAAAGAGTGCAGATTTAGGAGTCAGAAAAACCAATTTTGAAAGGCCAGGCCTGCTATTTACTAAGTGTGTGACTTTGGGCAAGTCAGTCCCCCCCCTCCAGGCCTTTTTCTCACCTGTACATGCAGATGAGACCATCCACGGGTTCCAGGACTGTCGCAAACATTCAAATCATGAACATTTATATACCAAGTTTATTGAGACCTCCTGAGACTTAAACCCTGTAGAAAACAGATGAATCAAACCCAGGCCCCATTCTCGGGAAGCTCACAGTGTGAAAATAGGTAACTACAAAAACACAGCCAATAAGTGCTTTGAAACAAGGAAGAACATAAAAAAGATGTAGTGTTCGAAAACCTGGAATCAAAAACTAACCGCGGAGAAAGGTAGGAGGATGTTCTAGACTCCCAGAGAAGAGCTGGGGAACATCCAGAAAGGCTCTTGCTGCCGACACAGCCACATCCCCTAGGTCTCTGGAGTTCACTGCAGGCTGGCCCATTGCAGGGAGGTGTAGACCACCTTACCATCAGGCTGCGGAGAACAGAGGAGCAGGGTCTTTCTGACGCTGGTTCCAAGGCGCCCAGCAGCAACCAGGTCTTGGAGTGGGATGGTGTCCTCGGGGGCCCAGCACTGAGCGATATAATGGGCGTGGAAGCGGAGGGGGTCACCTGGGGGAAGGAGAGAGGCACTGAAGCAGTGACCAATGGCAGACGGCTGGACGCCACGGGAACGACCACTGGGAGGAGATCTGAGATCATTTCAGCCATCACTATAGATACTCTAAAACAGATGCTCTTGGACACAACTATTCCACTTCTAGGCTTTTTTTTTTTTTTTTTTTTGAGACAAAGTCTCGCTCTTGTCCCCCAGGCTGGAGTGCAATGGCACGATCTTGGCTCACTACAACCTCTGCCCCCTGGGTTCACATGATTCTCCTGCTTCAGCCTCCCGAGTAGCTGGAAATACAGGCACCCACCACCACGCCCAGTTAGTTTTAGTATTTTTAGTAGAGATGGGGTTTCACCATGTTGGCCAGACTGGTATCAAACTCCTGACCTCAGGTGATCCACCTGTCTTGGCCTCCCAAAGTGTTGGGATTACAGGCGTGAGCCATTGCGCCCAGCCTGATGTCTAACTACTTCTAAGTGAATCTTCTGGATCACAGTAATCATTTAATAAAAGTCGTTAAACTGCTTGCCCAATGAGTTCAGGAGCTCCCAAATGTTTCCTGTCTGTCTATGAATTTCAGAGGCTAAGAGAAAGTGAGACAAAAAAGAAAAATGCAGCTGGGCCTATAATTCCAGCACTTTGGGGGGCCGAGGTGGAAGGATTGCTTGAGCCCAGGAATAGGGACCAGCCTAAGCAACAAGAGACCCCACCTCTATTAAGACAAAAAAAAAAAAAAGAAAAACGCAGAATACATTGGGATCGTATGGAAAGGCACAGCAACCAGAGGCCCCAACCCATACTCACCAGGATAGACCAGGAAGTCACCTCCGAACTTGCCAGCCGCACTGAGGAAGAAGCCTCGCTCCCACAGGTCTCTGTAGATACTGTAGCGCAGCTCGTGGGCAGGGCGGCCGGCGTGGGGCCAGTCTTTAGACTGGACACGCCAGTCCAGGGGCCTGGCCTTGACCGGTCGAGGCCTGGCAGTGGCCAGCTGGACAAGGAGAGCAGATCTGGGCAAGGGGGCTACCCCATTTGAGGGTCCTGCTTGGGAAGACGAGGGGCCTGGTGGGGAGTACAGAGAAGAGTTTGGTAAATTCAAGGGGTAAAGTCTTCTCACCCTCAGGGAGACCCAGGCACTGGATTCCCAGCTAAAATTCCTAAAAGATCTCTCCTCTCCTTCCCGTGGTCCCTGGACTCCACCTCCCATGCTCACCAGCTTCCTCCTGCTCTCCCGAAGCCTGGCCATCACTGGTCTCATCCTCTTTGGCAGCCTGGCTCGAGCCGGCCTCCTGGCTTGAGCTGGCCCCTGAAGCCTGTTCTAGTTTCTGCTTCTTAGCAGCCTGGCCCTCCGTAATCTTCTCCAGGAGCTCCTGACGACGGGTCTCCCGGGCCTCAGCTGCCAAGGCGCTCTGCTCCTGGAAGCTCTCCTCTTGCTGGCGCTTGAAGGATGTCAGGGCCTGAGAAGCACACTTCGCTGGAACCTCCAAGCTTATGGTCCCTTCAGAAGCCAGGAAACTTGACTCCCAGGTCCCGCTCCCACCGAACCCGAGTTCGAGCCCCGCCCCCTTACCAGGCTGTGGTGCCGAGAGTCTGGACGCGGGGCGCTGACCAGAGTCACGGCGCCGATCTCGGCCAAGAGCCGCGCCTCTTCGGGCATCAGCAGCAGCGGGAGGCCCAGGCGCGAGTTCTGGCGGGGCCCGCGGGGCAGGGCGCCTACCGTGCGGCCCCCCACACCCAGGCGCTCCCGGAGGGCCTGCACCGCCTCGGCTCCCCACACCAGGGAGCGGCCGTTCGCCACCTCCACCACCAGCATCCTCCTGCGGGAGCCGGGAGGCAAAGCAGTTACCGAAACAGCTGCGCGCCGCAGACCGCTGCAGCGCACCCAAAGCCTCCGGGGTCTCGGCGAAGCCCCGCCCCTAGGCCTCAGGGGGCGGGGCCTCGCTCAGCCGCCGTTCACCACCTGCTGGGCCCGAGCGCCAGGCCCCGCCCCCGGGCGATCCCACCAGGCCTCGCGGCCGCCGGAGACGAGACGCCGGAGACAAGCCCCCGACCCTCGCCCCTCGCCAAGCCCCCAGGGTCCCGCTCTACCCTTGTGACCCTGCGGTCGGCACCCGCTCTGTGCCCGCACTGCCGTACCTACCATTGCGCCTTGGAGCGTGAAAAACAAACCTCCGCAAGCGCGGCGACACGCCCCCTTACAAAGGTCCATTTTGGCACCACCCTCTTGCAAAGTGGGCGTCCCCCTTCGGGTGTTCCCGTCAGCGGTCAGAAGCTCTGGAGGCTAAGGCACCGCCGAGGCCACACCCTCTTCCGGACGCTCGAGCCTTCGCTCCTCCTCTTTCCGAACGACTGTGATTCGGCTTTCGGACCTCCTCGCTCTCAGACTCCCACAGTACAAAACCCTGCCCCCTCCCGAGCACAGGAAGTTCGGCGTTCGGGCGTCCTCGGCTCCACCGAATCCGCAGCCCCGCCCCCTTCCCGAACGCCAGCAATTTGACGTTCGGGTGTTCTCGGCTCGGCCGAATCCGTAGCCCCGCCTCCTCCCGGACGCAATAGGTTCGGCGTTCGGGCGTCATCGGCTCCCGGCAGCCTCGCGGCCTGTGGCCCCGCCCCCTCCGAGCGCCAGCGCACCCCAGTTGGGGAGTTCCCGCCCTACGACCGAACCCCACAGCCGAAAGCCCCGCCCCCTGGACACCCGCCGTCCACTCTCCGCTCGGGCGGGCTCACCCCAATTGGGAGCGCTCAGTCCGCCTCCTTGCCTCCCTTCAGAATGTCCCACTGTCCACCGATAGAACCAGCGAGTCACCTCATAAACAGTAATTCGCAGTCGAGGTGGAGCCACCCACTGCGCACCGCGCCACGCGCTCCTTGCTCCACCCCCTCATGCCGACACCCTCGTCAACTTCGTCATCCCGCCCCATCAGCGCCGCGGGAAGTCAGGTCCCGCCCCTCGCAGGACCGAAGCCCCGCCCTCCTCCCGCGGGGGCCACCTTGGCTCCGCCCCACTGAGCGCACCTCCCTCTGCCGCTTCCTCTCCTCTACTTGGGAACTTGAGGATCGTCACCCTGGCCCGGTCCCGTAGGCGCACGCCGGCCCTCGGGGTTCCGCCCCTTTGAGGGCAAGTCGCTTTCGCCCCGCCCCCTTGTAAATACTCATGGGTATCTGGCGAACCTGTTGACTCCGCCTATCATCCTAGCGTCACTTGTACCCAACTATCTACGAAGTAAACCGAAGCTTGTGGCCCCACCCACATCCGGCCGAGTCTGTGGCCCCGCCCACATCGGAACAGTGACCCTAAGGACTCGACTACCTCCGAAGAAAGCCGAAACATGTGGCTCCGCCCACACTGGCCTCAGCTCTCCGTTCTCGACTATTGCCGAAGTGAGCCGAAGTTTGTGGCCCCGCTTCCGGAGAACTCAAGCTCCCGATTGTGCCCGAAGGAACCCGAAGGGAGACCCCGCCTCATTCCTCACGGCGAGCTCCAGACCCCGCCTCCTTTCCGGAGCCCGTCTGTTCCCCTTCGGGTCCAAAGCTTTTGGCTCCTCCTTGTTCCGAGCCCGAAGGCCCGCCCCTTCACGTACTCGGAGCTCGGATCCCAGTGTGGACCTGGACTCGAATCCCGTTGCCGACTCGCGCTCTCGGCTTCTGCTCCGGGGCTTCTTCCCTGCCCGCCCGGGGCCCTGACCGTGGCTTCTTCCCCGGCCTGATCTGCGCAGCCCGGCGGGCGCCCAGAAGGAGCAGGCGGCGCGGGGGCGCGCTGGGCGGGGGAGGCGTGGCCGGAGCTGCGGCGGCAAGCGGGCTGGGACTGCTCGGCCGCCTCCTGCCCGGCGAGCAGCTCAGGTGGGCCAGGGTGGCGGCGCCCAGTGGCGAGGCGAGGTTACACGGCGGCAGGGTCTCTGCGGGCTGGCGGGTGCGGGGCGGCCCCGGAGGCGCGTTGGAACTCGGGGCTGGCGCAACCGCCTGTGGCTCTGCCGGGGATGCGCTGGGGTGCGCGGGACGGGTTGGGGCTGGGCCTGGGCCTGGGCCTGGGGAGGGGAGGGTGTTCGATCCCCGGGTTCTCAGTAGGAGAGGGGTGTGGAGCTCCGAAGGAGGTGCAGGTTGGAGACCCGGGCTCCTCTGGGTGGTCTCGAAGAAGGGCTGGGGGGTCCGGATATCTGGTTTCACAAGGGCCGGGGGATGGGGGATCCAAAGAGGGGGTCTGGGTTCCTGGATCCTCGCTGGAAGAGGGGGCTCGGAGGTCTAGATTCCTGGGCTGTCGAAGAGGAAGGGTCCGGGAGGGGTGCCGTTTCTGGGTTTTTAAAAGAGGGGCGTCTTCAAATCTGGGTCCCCAGTATGGGTGCGGGGAGTAGCTTTGATTTCTGCGTTCGCAAAGGAGGGGCTTGGGTGCTGGGAGATCCCCACACTTTCCTGGGTTCTCCAAGGACAGGAGAGCTGGAGGCCTGTGCGCTCAAAGGAGGGGCTGGGGGTGGATTCCTGTCTCCTCCAAGGAGGAAGGGGCTGGAGTCCGGGTTGCTAGGTTCTCAAAGGAGAGGAGCTGAGGCTCATACTCCATCATCCTCAAAAACTGGGGTCTAGAAGGCTGGGTTCCTGGATCCTCGAAGAGGGAGGAGGCAGGGGGCCTGGATTCCTGGGTTCTCACTGTGAATCTCTGCCCCTCCCCCAGACCATGTCGCCTGAAGAATGGACGTATCTAGTGGTTCTTCTTATCTCCATCCCCATCGGCTTCCTCTTTAAGAAAGCCGGTGAGTCAGGCTCCCTCCCCAGTGGAAAATAAAGGGGGGGGACCCTCTGGAAGGTTCCAGGCTTATGCTGTCCCTTCCCCCTGCAGGTCCTGGGCTGAAGAGATGGGGAGCAGCCGCTGTGGGCCTGGGGCTCACCCTGTTCACCTGTGGCCCCCACACTTTGCATTCTCTGGTCACCATCCTCGGGACCTGGGCCCTCATTCAGGCCCAGCCCTGGTGAGAATTTGGTGGAGGGAGGAGAGGGAGAGGAGGGGAGAGGGGGAAGCAACCTGTTTCCTCTTTGAGTCTTTTTCAGCTTCTGCCTCATCTCTAGCTGTCTCTTGTTGATCAGCTCATTTCTCTGTTTCATGTTTGTTTGTTTGTTTGTTTTTCTTTCTTTCTTTCTTTTTGAGATGGAGTTTCGCTCCTGTTGCCCAGGCTGCAGTTCAGTGGCACGATCTTGGCTCACTGCAACCTCCACCTCCCGGGTTCAAGCGATTCTCTTGCCTCAGCCTCCCAAGTAGCTGGGACTACAGGCATGCTCCACCACGCCTGGCTAATCTTGAATTTTTAATAGAGCCGGGGTTTCTCCATGTTGGTCAGGCTGATCTCGAACTCCTGACCTTGTGATCTGCCCACCTCAGCCTTCCAAAGTGCTGGGATTACAGGCGTGAGCCACCGTATCCGGCCTTCATCTGCTTTTCTTTCTCCCCTGCCTTCTGCGTCTGGTCCCTGTGTGTTTGTCCCAGTCCGCTACATCCATGTCATGGAGAGAGGTGGACAGTGTGTCTGCTGGCCTGGCCACCGTTCATATTCATTCATATCCACCTCTCTCTTCTTGAGCCCTGGACCTCGGAAATAAAGAAAAAGTGGAGGATTGCAGGGTCTTCACCTGAAGCTTCTCTTAACCTCATTCTCTGTTGGTGTGTGTTTCTATGTGGCTGAGCCTCTTCTCCCACTGTTTCAATCATACTCATTCGGTCCCTACATCCACCCTCCTGTCCTCTCTGCCCTTCTGTGTTTCTGTCTCTAAACGAATGGGGAGAGCTGGGGGAGGATTGGTGGCTGGACTCGTGGAGTGAATGGCCAAGGCCGAGACTTCTGTGCCCAACACAGTGCGCCTCCTGCTTTTGCCCAGCTCCTGCCACGCCCTGGCTCTGGCCTGGACTTTCTCCTATCTCCTGTTCTTCCGAGCCCTCAGCCTCCTGGGCCTGCCCACTCCCACGCCCTTCACCAATGCCGTCCAGCTGCTGCTGACGCTGAAGGTCAGACTCGGGGCTTGCCACTCCCCTCCAGCCTCCCTGTGGGCCCCTTCACCTCCCACTTTACCTCCCCCTTCAGTGGCTCCCCGGGATTTTACCTCCAACACACCCTGGGGGTGGGACGTCACCTCACTTGCTGCCCTGGGCACAGCATTCCCCATTCACATGCCCTTGGGCAGGTCTTCACCTCCCAGCTCCTCCTGGGGTGAGGAAATAACCCACATAGGTAACAGTAGGTGCCATTGGGTGCTTGCGGTGTGCCAGAGGCCCAGCTGGGTGGTTTACCAACATGCTGTCCTTGAATCTCTGTAGCCAGCTATTTTGCAAAGGAGAAAAACCAGCTCTGGGGAGAAGGTACTTGGTGAAGGGAACAAAACTAGGGCATCCAGGTCTGGCTCCTAATCACCTGGGAAGAGGGGTAAAAACAGAATCCTAGGGCCCACCCCAGACCCACAGAGTCATGGTTTCCTACTGGCGGCTTATCCGTGAACACAGCAGTCATGCTAGGTAGGGAGTGGCCTTCCCAGCATTCAGTGTGCCCTGTGGGAGCTCAGTGGTGGCAGGAGTAGGTTGGATGAGAGAGGGGTTCGTGGAGGAGCATTTCAGGCCGCAGGATGTGTGGAGGGGAGCAGGCTGGGTTCCACAGGCTACACCAGCCACATCCACTTTCTGGGACGAGCAAAAGGGAACAGGCAGCAGGGCTGACACCGTGCTAGGCCTGGCTGGAGACCGTGAGGACATTGGACTTCTTCCCGTGGAGGATTGAGATCTGCTGGAAGAGGGGATTTTTGGTTTGCTGCCAGAAGAGGCAATGTGACCAGTTTTAAATGTTTAAAAATACTCGTTCTGGCTGGGCACAGTAGCTCACGCCTGTAATGCCAGCACTTTGGGAGGCTGAGGCAGGCGGATCACCTGAGGTCGGGAGTTCAAGACCAGCCTGACCAAAATGGAGAAACCCTGTCTCTACTAAAAATACAAAAGATTAGCTGGGCGTGGTGGCACATACCTGTAATCCCAGCTACTCGGGAGGCTGAGGCAGGAGAATTGCTTGAACCCAGGAGGCGGAGGTTGTGGTGAGCTGAGATCGTACCATTGCACTCCAGCCTGGGCAACAAGAGCAAAACTCCATCTCAAAAATAAATAAACAAATAGAAATACTCATTCTAGGCCAGCTGCGGTGGCTCACGCCTGTAATCCCAGCACTTTGGGAGGCTGACGCGGGTAGATCACCTGAGGTTAGGAGTTTGAGACCATCCTGGCCAACATGGTAAAACTCCGTCTCTACTAAAAATACAAAAATGAGCCGGGTGTGGTGGCTCACACCTGTAATCCCAGCTACTCAGGAGGCTGAGGCAGGATAATTGCTTGAACCTGGAAGGTGGAGGTTGCAGTGAGCCAAGATCCCGCCATTGCACTCCAGCCTGGGCCTTCCCGGGCAAGATTCCATCTCAAAAAAAAAAGAAAAGAAAAGAAAGAAAACTCGTTCTGGATGCTGAAGGAGAATTGAAGTGGAACAGGGCAAGATGGGATGGACTCAGATAAAGGGATCCTCCTTTGTCCGAGTCCAGGTGACAAACTGTGGTGGCTTGATACAGGCCGTTGGCTGGCTGTGGGTAGGTCTGAGTTGCAGCAGGAAACGCGCATTTAGGATGACTGAAGGAGTGGCCACCAATTGGGCAGGATGTAGAAGAGCAAGAAGGGATGGTGCCTGAACCCCAGCCCCGCAGAAGGAGCCGTTCCCAACCCTAGGCCCAGGGGAAATGGGTCAGGTTGTGGTACCTGGATGGAAAAAGGGTTGTGTAGGCCTGGTGCAGTGGCTCATACTTGTATAATCCCAGCGCTTTGGGAGGTCATAGTGGGAGGACTGCTGGAGGCCAGGAGTTTAAGACCAGCCTGGGCAATATAGTGAGACCCTGTCTCTACAAAAAATTAATTTTTTAAATGTTATTTATTTTTAAAGATGGAGTCTCGCTCTGTTGCCCAGGCTGGAGTGCAGTGGTGTGATCTCACTGCAACCTCTGCCTCTCGGGTTCGAGCGATTCTCCTGCCTCAGCCTCTCGAGTAGCTGGGACTACAGGCGCCCACCACCACGCCTTGCTAATTTTTATATTTTTAGTAGAGATGGGGTTTCACCATGTTGGCCGGGCTGGTCTCAAACCCCTGACATCAAGTGATCTGCCTGCCTAGGCCAACCAAAGTGCTAGTGTTATAGGTGTGAGCCGTCACACCTGGCCCTAAATTTTTTTTTTTTTTTTTTTTTTGAGACGGAGTTTCACTCCTGTTGCCCAGGCTGGAGTGCAATGGTACGATCTTGGCTTACCGCAACCTCCGCCTCCCAGGTTCAAGCGATTCTCCTGCCTCAGCCTCCTGAGTAGCTGGAATTACAGGCACTCACCACCATGCCCGGCTAATTTTTTGTATTTTTAGTAGAGACAGGGTTTTTCCATGTTGGTCAGGCTGATCTCGAACTCCCAACCTCAGGTGATCCGCCTGCCTCGGCCTCCCAAAGTGCTGGGATTACAGGCGTGAGCCACCGCGCCCGGCCAAAATTATTTTTTTTAAAGGGTGTGTAGAGCCACCCACCTTGAAATGATCTATCAAGGGTGACAGCCAGCCCAAGGCCATCTTACAAGGGAATAAAAGCCCTACCCTCCCTCTCCTGACTTTGTCTCCAGCCAGGGATTTCTACTGACAACCCAGCCACAAGCTGGAAGAAGGAGATCTATTGATATAGGGTGGACCTTGGGACTGGTGGGAAAGGGTGGAGAGTACAACATATTCAGCTCAGTAGTGGAGATGGAAAGAGGCAACAGACTCAAACTTAAGGGATTTCAAGGCGGGCAGATCACTTGAGGCCAGGAGTTCGAGACCAGCCTGGCCAGCTGAGGCATGAGAATTGCTTGCGCCCCCAGGAGGTGGGGGTTGCAGTGAGCCGAGATCACACCAGTATACTCCAGCCTGGGTGACAGAGCAAAACTTGTCTCAAAAAAAAAAAAAAAAAAAAAGAGAGATTAAAGGATCGGATTTGGGGAGTGAGGGAGATTTTTGGCTTGAACAATTTGGTGGCCTGTTGTTTGAGGGGAGACACTAGAAGAGGGTCTACCTTGTGGGGTGGGTAACATCATGTTCCGTTTCCAGTGCGTTTGGGGTGCCTGGAGACATCCGAGTATAAATGCCAATAAGCCACTTGATTGGATAGGTCTGGGGCTGGGGTAGCGTTTGGGCGTCCTCAGCGTGTGGATAGTATCGAAACCTCCGTGATTGCGTGAGAGCAGGTAAGCACAGAACAGGGAAAGGGGAGGAGGGCCTGGGACTGAGCCCTGGGGAACACCGCCCAGCTAGAGGCGTTACACACAACCTAGATGGGCAGAGCTGCGGGCACCCAGCACCCCTTGGCTGCCGAGGGCAGCCGCGCAAGGGAGATGGGTGTGGGGAAGGGCCCAGAGTCTGACCTGGCCCCTTGCCCACCCCCTTCTGCCCAGCTGGTGAGCCTGGCCAGTGAAGTCCAGGACCTGCATCTGGCCCAGAGGAAGGAAATGGCCTCAGGCTTCAGCAAGGGGCCCACCCTGGGGCTGCTGCCCGACGTGCCCTCCCTGATGGAGACACTCAGCTACAGCTACTGCTACGTGGGAATCATGACAGGTGAGTGGGGCTGCCCTAACAACTCTGCCGCTCTGTCTCCTGTGTCCCCTTCCGCCCTGAGTGCCTGTTGTGTGTTCCCGCCCTGCCCAGGGCAACCTCCATCCTAGCATCTGCTGCTGTGAGGGTGGGCATGTGTCTGGGTCTACGTCTCACACCTCCGCTGGACCAGAGCTGCTTTGGGGTAGAAGCTGGCTGTCTCAACCTAAGCAATTCCTTGCTCTTCTCCTTGTAGCGTATTGGGAGCAAAGAGAAGAGATAAAGGAGGTAAAGATCTATGTCAACCTGATGTTTTTGCTTCCCAGACAACAAATATTCACGGCTTAGGGTCCACTTTCAGCTTAAGGAAATATTTTTCATCTGGGCGTGGGGGCTTATGCCTATAATCCTAGCACTTTCGGAGGCTGAGGCGAGAGGATTGCTTGAGGCCAAAAGTTCAAGATCAACTTGGCCAACATAGCAAGATCCCGTCCCTTTATTTTAAACCTTTATTTTTAAAAAATAAATAAATATAAAATTAAAAGGGCCGGGCGCAGTGGCTCACGCCTGTAATCCCAGCACTTTGGGAGGCTGAGACAGGCAGATCACCTGAGGTCAGGAGTTTGAGACCAGCCTGGCCAACATGGTGAAACCCCGTCTCTACTGAAAATACAAAAATTAGCCGGGCATGGTGGTGTGTGCCTGTAATCCCAGCTACTTGGGAGGCTGAAACTGGAGAATCGCTTGAACCCACGAGACGGAGTTTGCAGTGAGCCAAGATCACACCACTGCACTCCATCCTGGGCAACAGAGCAAGACTCCATCTCAAAAAATACATATGTATGTGTGTGTGCATGTGTGTATATATATGTATGTGTGTATGTGTATATATATGTGAAATTTTAAAAAGAAAATATTTTTCATTAATGTTTACCTCATCAAAGGTTTTTTTTCCAATAACAGCTTTAGGGAACTCTAATTCACATACTCATCCACTTAAAACATACAACTCTTGGCTTCTTTAATTTCCTGGAAAAAAAAAAAAACACAAAACATACAACTCCCTGATTTTTAGTATATTCACCGAGTTGTGCAGACATGACCATTGTGTAGTTATATTCAGAACAGTTTCATACCCTGCAAAGAAACCCCATGTCCATCATCCCACAAACCTCCATCCATCCCTGGTAACCAGTAATTGACTTTCTATCTGTAAAGATTTGCCTGTTCTGGACATTGCGCTTACAAATGGAATCATACAACATGTGGTCTTATTTATTTATTTTAATTTGTTTTTTTTTTCCTTTTATCTTCCCATGCTACATTGACCTAAACATACGGCCTTTGTGAACATATAAAAATTTTAACCCCGGTCCCTTCTGTGAATCACACTGCTTCCTCCCTAGGCCAGACCACCATCATATTGTAGCTAAAGTGCCACAGCTATCTCCTAGTTTCTTTCCTTCCTCCTTCCCTCCGTCCTTCCCTTTTCCCTTCTTCCTTCC
This sequence comes from Homo sapiens, assembly GCF_000001405.40. Taxonomy (NCBI): domain Eukaryota; kingdom Metazoa; phylum Chordata; class Mammalia; order Primates; family Hominidae; genus Homo; species Homo sapiens. Next base: position 157,036 of record NW_003571059.2, on the reverse strand, counting down.
TTCCCTCCTTCCTTCCCTCCCTCCTTCCTTCCCTCCTTCCCTCCCTCCTTCCTTCCCTCCCTCCTTCCTTCCCTCCTTCCCTCCCTCCTTCCTTCCCTCCTTCCCTCCCTCCCTCCCTCCTTCCTTCCCTCCCTCCTTCCTTCCCTCCCTCCTTCCTTCCCTCCTTCCTTCCCTCCTTCCTTCCCTCCCTCCTTCCTTCCCTCCTTCCCTCCCTCCTTCCTTCCCTCCCTCCTTCCTTCCCTCCTTCCCTCCCTCCTTCCTTCCCTCCTTCCCTCCCTCCCTCCCTCCTTCCTTCCCTCCTTCCCTCCCTCCCTCCTTCCTTCCCTCCTTCCCTCCCTCCCTCCTTCCTTCCCTCCTTCCCTCCCTTCTTCCTTCCCTCCTTCCCTCCCTCCTTCCTTCCCTCCTTCCCTCCCTCCCTCCTTCCTTCCCTCCTTCCCTCCCTCCTTCCTTCCCTCCTTCCCTCCCTCCCTCCTTCCTTCCCTCCTTCCCTCCCTTCTTCCTTCCCTCCTTCCCTCCCTCCTTCCTTCCCTCCTTCCCTCCCTTCTTTCTTCCCTTCTTCACTCCTTCCCTCCCTCCCTCCCTCCCTCCCTGGCTGGAATGCAGTAGCTCAGTCACTGCTCACTGCAGCCTGGGCTCAAACGATCCTCCCGCCTCAGCCTCCCCAGTAGCTGGGAATTCAGGTGCCCTCCACACCTGGCTGATTTTTATTTTTTGTAGTGATGGGGTCTTGCCGTTTTGCCCAGGCTGCTGTCCAACTGTTGGGCTCAAGCAGTCCTCCCAGCTAGGCCTCCCAAAGTGCTGGGATTCCAGGTGTGAGCCACCGCACCGGCCCCTCTGTCTGTTTTTCTGTTACTGTCTCTGTCTCTCTGAGTTTCTTGTCCCCCCTGTCTCTCGTTCCTTATCCCCATCTCTCAGGGTCTCAGTCCCTACCCTTGGGGTCTCCCCGGCGCCCAGTCTCTGCCCCTCTCACTCCCTCTTCCCACCTTCCTTCCAAGCTCCCTGTCCTCCTCCTGCAGACTTGAGCTCTGCCCACCTGCCTGTCTGACCGCGGCCCTCCCTCCCCGCCCCACAGGCCCGTTCTTCCGCTACCGCACCTACCTGGACTGGCTGGAGCAGCCCTTCCCCGGGGCAGTGCCCAGCCTGCGGCCCCTGCTGCGCCGCGCCTGGCCGGCCCCGCTCTTCGGCCTGCTGTTCCTGCTCTCCTCTCACCTCTTCCCGCTGGAGGCCGTGCGCGAGGACGCCTTCTACGCCCGCCCGCTGCCCGCCCGCCTCTTCTACATGATCCCCGTCTTCTTCGCCTTCCGCATGCGCTTCTACGTGGCCTGGATTGCCGCCGAGTGCGGCTGCATTGCCGCCGGCTTTGGGGCCTACCCCGTGGCCGCCAAAGCCCGGGCCGGAGGCGGCCCCACCCTCCAATGCCCACCCCCCAGCAGGTCAGGCGGCGCGAGGGAGGCTTCCCAAGACCCAGCAGCCCCCACCTCCAAGGGCTGGCTCTGCCCCTAGCCGGGAGGAGAGCGGGGAGCAAGGGGCCAGGGCCACCACCTTTTTGAGCAGAGTGTCGCCCCCTCGGCAACCATGGCCTGCCAGCCCCTGTCGGTAGGGAAAAGATCCCTGGTACTGACAGATGCCCCTTGTTGCTAGCGCTTGTCACCCCGCAGTGTGGTGAACTGCCCCCTGTCGCTAGGAAAAGGTGGTAACTTAGCAACCCTGTGCCACCCCTCTGTTGCCACAGAAGTGTCACCCCCCAGAACCAGATTGTTCCTGCTTGCTGGGGATGCCATCCTTTGCTAGTGGTGGGTCACCCTCTGTTGCTAGGGAAACGGTTCCCTAGCAACAGAACGCCACTATTTGCTAGGGAAGCAGGATCCCTAGCAACAGTAGCTCACCTCCTTTTTACCAGAAGTTTTGCTCTGTTGCTGCAGATACGGCACTCCCTGCACTGCCCCTTTGTTGCTAGGAGCTAGCACTGCTCCACCCCGTGGGATGTCCTCACATAGCAGCCCTCAGCAGCCCTCTGCAAGGAAATAGCAATTTCCAATCCCTGACCAGTGCTGTTCCCCAGCAGAGGGCACGCCATTCCTACCAACTACAGTTACACTGTTGCTAAGGAAGCCAAACCTCCCCCTGGAAACTATGGGTTGACCCTTGTTGCCAGAGAGGCTCCACCCCCCGGCACCTGCATTGCTAGGCAAGTCGCACGGCCATAGCTGTGGACTCTCTTGTGGCTGAGGAAGTATTGCCCCCGTGTTGCTAGGGAGATGGCACCCCCGGCAACCAGGAGTAGACTGCCCTTGTGTTCCTGACAGCTGCAGTCAGCCTTCCCCCAGGGGCTTGGACTGCGGCTGGGGGAACAGCCTGTTGATGTAAATGATGAACTACTACTCCCTGCTAGGGTTGTCCCCTAGTCGTCACAAACTGCCATTCTGTTGTGGGGGTAGTGACACCCCCACGGGAATTTGTTACCACTGCCCTAATAACCGTGCCCTGACCTCCAGCTGCTAGAGAGAGGATGTCCCCCTAGTAAAGCCAAGCAGGAATTGAAGGTTTTTCTAAATCTGCTCGGTCCTCACTCCTAAAGGATGGCTCCCCTCCTGTCATCAGAGGCCACCAAGGCTTCATATGGGCCAGTGTTTCCCACTGCTGGGGCTGTCGACATGAGTGATGAGGGAGCCACTGTATTGCTAGAGGTGACACTTCTCCAATAATCACTGCGACCAGGAAAAAAGCCCCTTCCTAAAAGCCTTTCTAAACATCCTAGGCATTGTTGCTAAGGAATGCCTTTTCCTTAGCAACAAAGATCATGGGGACCCCACTGGCGCCTGGAACATCTCCCTAGCAACCGTGAAGCACCTTGTTATTAGGGATGATAACCACAACTTCCCTGGCAACTGCAGTGTCCGACAATTTAGAAGGGACCATCCTTGGCGGCTTCTCTGAATATACTGAGTTTGGTTGCTAAAGGACTCATAGCTTAGCAACCATAGCCCTTCAAGGCTTTTCATGGCTGTGGCGGGCCCCATTAGGTACCAAAAGAAGAAGAACCCCATTGTCAGTGAACTGTACCACCCAGCCCACCCACCTTCCTACCCTACAGGCACCCTCTGGGCCACCCTCCCTTGCTGCCCTAGCAAGTCTGACAGCCAGAGGGCCATTGCCTGGCCAGGATCCCTTCCTTAGCATCCGGGGCTGGGACACTAGCAGGCGTCGGGAGGGGGCCTGGCTGAGCTGCATGTCTGTCCCCCACCCTCATCCTCCACCCCCCAGTCCGGAGAAGGCGGCTTCCTTGGAGTATGACTATGAGACCATCCGCAACATCGACTGCTACAGCACAGATTTCTGCGTGCGGGTGCGCGATGGCATGCGGTACTGGAACATGACGGTGCAGTGGTGGCTGGCGCAGTATATCTACAAGAGCGCACCTGCCCGTTCCTATGTCCTGCGGTGAGTGAGCCCGCCCAGTCTCAGGTGACACTGCAGAACTACATCTCCCAGCAGGCCCCAGGGTAGCCTGCAGCGTCCCTGGCTGGGCCCCTGCCCCCGGAGGCTCATGGGAATTGTAGTTTGTTTAGCCTGGTTTTGCCCTGCCTCTAATTATAGTGGCAGCATGCCGGTGTAAAATCGTTCCCCCTCTCGGGGCCTCAGTTGCTACTTCTGTAAAGTCAGCCTCACTCAGCAGAAGCAATGTACTGAGTCCTGTGGACTCAATAGCCAGCCTTCCTGGAATCTTGGCCGTCCAGGTTATGGAGAAACCTTGAGGAGTTAGTTGACCTCTTAGTTGCCTCAAGTGTTGAATGGAGTGAATGCTATTTATTACTGGTTTCATAGGTAGATAGAAGGACTAAATGTGATAAAATGTGAAATGTATTTAATGTGAGGCCTGACAGGTAAGTGCGTGCTGTGTATTCATTTTTATTGTTTTTCATTCTTCCAATATTTCTCGAGTGGAGACTCTGTGCTTGACACTGTTATCTGTGCAGCCTTTAGAAGCAGAAACTCAGCCGGGTGCGGCAGCTCACGCCTGGAATCCCAGCACTTTGGGAGGCCCAAGCAGGTGGATCATGAGGTCAGGAGTTCGAGACCAGCCTGACCAACATGGTGACATGCTGTCTCTACTAAAAATACAAAAAATTACCCTGGTGTGGTGGTGGGCGCCTGTAGTCCCAGCTACTCGGGAGGCTGAGGCAGGAGAATGGCTTGAACCCGGGAGGCAGAGGTTGCAGGGAGCTGGGATCTCGCCACTGCACTCCAGCCTGGGCGACAGCGAGACTCCGTCTCAAAAAAAAAAAAAAAAAAAAAAAAAAAAAAAAAAACAGAAGTAGAACTCATAGCCAGGCATGGTGGCTCACACTTGTAATCCCAGCAGTTTGGGAGGCCCAGGCAGGTGGATCATCTTGAGGTCAGGGCAATATGGTGAAGACCAGCCTGGGCAATATGGAGAAACCCCTTCTCTACTAAAAATACAAAAAATTAGCTAGGCATGGTGGCGGGCGCCTATAATCCCAGCTACTAGGGAGGCTGAGGCAAGAGAATCACTTGAACCCGGGAGGCGGAGGTTGCGGTGAGCCAAGGTCACCTGGGCAACAGAGAGAGACTTTGTCTCAAAATAAAATAAAATAGGCCGGGCACGGTGGCTCATGCCTATAATCCCAGCAATTTGGGAGGCCAAGGTGGGTGGGTCACAAGGTCAGGAGATCAAGACCATCCTGGCTAACACGGTGAAACCCTGTCTCTACTAAAAATACAAAAAATTAGCCGGGTGTGGCGGCGGGTGCATGTAGTCCCAGCTACTGGGGAGGCTGAGGCAGGAGAATGGTGTGAACCCGGGAGACGGAGCTTGCAGTGAGCCGAGATCGCGCCACTGCACTCCAGCCTGGGCAACAGAGCGAGACTCTGTCTCAAAAACAAACAAACAAAAAAACACAAAAAACAAACAAAAATAATTATTAATTTAATTTAATTTAATTAGATAAATGTGGAAGGGGAAGACCCAGGAAGGGTAAGTTTTGGGAGTAAGAAGGATATTATTATTAGTATTAGTATTAGTATTAGTATTAGTATTAGTATTAGTATTAGTATTTTGATGCTCTGTCACCCAGGATGGAGTGCAGTGTTGTGATCTCAGCTCACTGCAACCTCCATCTCCTGGGTTCAAGTGATTCTCGTGCCAAGAGTAGACGCAGGGTTTCACCATGTTGGCCAGGCTGGTCTCGAACTCTTGGCCTCAAGTGATCCGCGTGCCTCGGCCTCCCAACGTGCTGGGATTACAGGCGTGAGTCACCATGCCCGGCCAAAATTTTTTAAGTATTATTATTATTTTTTTTTTACTTTTTAAAAAATGTATAGAGATGAGGTCTCACTGTGTTGACCAGGCTGGTCTCAAACTCCTGGCCCCAAGCAGTCCTCCCATCTCAGCCTCCCAAAGTGCTGAGATTACAAGCATGAGCCACTGCATCTGGCCAGGTATAGATGACGCTTAAAGCTCTGGGGCTGAGGCCAGGTCAAAGCACCCCAGTGTTTAGACAAGTGCTTCTCAACTGGGGGCAACTGTGCTGCTGCTGCACCCCCAGGAGACACATGGCAATCCCTGGAGACATGTTGTTGTAACTGGAAGGTGCTAGTCGGATGTCGTGGGTGGGGGCCAGGGATGCTCCTAAACACCTTAAAATGCACAGGATCCATCGTTTTTGTTTATTTTACAGCTCAAGTGCAGTGGCGTGATCTCGGCTCACTGCAACCTCTCCCTCCCAGGTTCAAGCAATCCTCCTGTCTCAGCCCCCCTAGTAGCTGGGATTATAGGCACGTGCTACCATGACAGACTAATCTTTGTATTTTTAGCCTCCCAAAGTGCTGGGATTACAGGTGCCAGCCATTGCACCCAGCCTCCGCACTCTTGAAGAACCAGAAAGCCAATGGTCCTCCCTTCTCAAGAAAACAAGAGTTGGCCAGGTGCAATGGCTGACATCTGTAATTCCAGTATTTTGGGAGGCCAAGGTGAGAGGATCACTTAAGCTCAGGAGTTCGAGACCAGCCAGGTCAACATAGCAAGACTCCATCTTTACAAAGAAAAAAAAAGAGGCTGGGCGCGGTGGCTCAGACCTGTAATCCCAGCACTTTGGGAGGCCAAGGTGGGTGGATCACAAGGTCAGGAGATCGAGACCATCCTGGCCAACGTGGTGAAACCCCATCTCTACTAAAAATACAAAAATGGCTGGGTGCAGTGGCTCACGCCTGTAATCCCAGCACTTTGGTAGGCCACGGCGGGTGGATCACAAGGTCAAGAGATTGAGAGCATCCTGGCCAACATGGTGAAACCCCGTCTTTACCAGAAATACAAAAATTAGCCTGGCATGGTGGTGGGCACCTGTAGTCCCAGCTGCTCGGGAGGCTGAGGCAGGAGAATCACTTGAACCCGGGAGGCAGAGGTTGCAGTGAGCCGAGATTGCGCCACTGCACTCCAGCATGGGCGGCAGAGCGAGACTCCGTCTGAACAACAACAACAAAAAATACAGAAATTAGCTGAGTTTGGTGGCGCTTGCCTGTAATCCCAGCTACTTGGGAGGCTGAGGCATAAGAATCGCTTGAATCCAAGAGGCAGAGGCTGCAGTGAGCCTTGTCGTGTGGCAACAGAGCGAGACTCTGTCTCCAAAAAAATAAAAAGAGTGAGGAAAGATGGTGCTGGGCCTTGGAGGAAGAGGAACATATCTCCTGGGCCCAGAATAAGGAAGGACCACAGGCCAGGGACTTCTGGATCTTCATGAGCCAGGCAGGAGTTGTCAAATGTTAACAGGCATCAGAGTCACTGGAGGACTTGTTAACTTGGAAGACTTCTCCTGGGCCCCACCCCCAGGGCTTCTGGTGCAAAAGGGGTGGGGACAAGGATTTGTATGTCTCACAAGTTCTCAGGTGATGCTGATGCCAGACCTGGGACCCCAGGTTAAGAACCACCGGGCTGCCCGGGTGTGGTGTCTGACACCTGTGATCCCAGCACTTTGGGAGGCCAAGGCGGGCAGATCACGAGGTCAGGAGATCGAGACCATCCTGGCTAACACGGTGAAACCCCGTCTCTACTAAAAATAGAAAAGAAAATTAGCCGGGCGTGGTGGCGGGCGCCTGTAGTCCCAGCTACTCGGGAGGCTGAGGCAGGAGAATGGCGTGAACCTGGGAGGCGGAGCTTGCAGTGAGCCAAGATCGCGCCACTGCACTCTAGCCTGGGCGACAGAGCGAGACTCTGTCTCAAAAAAAAAAAAAAAAAACCACTGGGCTGAAGAATTAAGACTTGTTGGTCCTGGGAGAGGAAGGGCAGTGGAATATAAAATGTTAAATCTTTAAAGAAGAAGAGGGTCTTGATAGGACTGAGTGTGTATGGAAGGCTGCGAGCTCCTGGATCCCTGAAGGAGACAGAGGCCTGTAGCCTCCTCCGCCTTCCGGAGCTAGGGTCATGGGTCTGAGTGGGGAGGGCCTGGGGCCTGGTCTCCTGGATCTGAGGGAGGAGGGAGGTGGGGTCTGGTCTCCTGGATCTGAGGGAGGAGGGAAGTGGGGTCTGGACTCCTGGATCTGAGGGAGGAGGGAGGTGGGGTCTGGTCTCCTGGGTCTGAGGGAGGAGGGACTGGGGCCTGATCTCCTGGGTCTGAGGGAGGAAGGGGTGGGGTCTGGACTCCTGGGTCTGAGGGAGGAGGGGCTGGGCCTGCACTTCTCGGTCTGAGGGAGGAGGGGCTGGGGTCCTGGACTCCTGGATCTGGGGGCAGTGGGCACTGGGGACCTGGACTCGTAGGTCCTGACTCCCAGCCTCCTCCTCAGGAGCGCCTGGACCATGCTGCTGAGCGCCTACTGGCACGGCCTCCACCCGGGCTACTACCTGAGCTTCCTGACCATCCCGCTGTGCCTGGCTGCCGAGGGCCGGCTGGAGTCAGCCCTGCGGGGGCGGCTGAGCCCAGGGGGCCAGAAGGCCTGGGACTGGGTGCACTGGTTCCTGAAGATGCGCGCCTATGACTACATGTGCATGGGCTTCGTGCTGCTCTCCTTGGCCGACACCCTTCGGTACTGGGCCTCCATCTACTTCTGTATCCACTTCCTGGCCCTGGCAGCCCTGGGGCTGGGGCTGGCTTTAGGTGGGGGCAGCCCCAGCCGGCGGAAGGCAGCATCCCAGCCCACCAGCCTTGCCCCAGAGAAGCTCCGGGAGGAGTAAGCTGTCACGACGCTCCCTCTGCCAGCTGGTCCCGGGAATTCTGTGAACCAGGCTGCTGTCTCCTCCCCAGAAAGAGTCCTTACCTTGGAGAGGGTCCTGGAGAGAATTTCCTCTTCCCCAGCTAAATACCCTGCCTGCAACTGAAGCAGACCCGGGGGTGTCCTCCCTGCCCTCTGCCCAGAGGCCACCTCCACTCCTACAAAATCAAAGTATTGTCCAGACAAGAGTCACTGGCCCCTGCTCCAGCTTCTGGGTATCCAGAGAGCACTGCACTTCCCCAAAACGGAAGGGGCCCCTGGGCAGTGGGTTTTGGGCAAATTCCCTTTCTTTGCATCCACAATGTGGGGTCGGAGCTTGGGGGCAGGTCCTGGGAGTGGGAAGCCTCTTCCTTGTGTCTTTCGCTCCACTTTTAGCTCATCGCACCAATATTGCAGACTTGGAAGGAAGCATAAGCTTCCCATTTCACAAAGGGGAAACTGAGGTGCGGGTGCGCGGGCCTGGGGACGGCCGTCCCATGGCTTCCATCTGAGCCACCTCGGGACCCCAGCGCTCCTGGCGCCCTCTTCTCATCGCTTGGCCTATGACAGGTCACCGTGTGTAAATCTTTCCCAATAAAGTGTTGCACAAAGGCATCCTGTCCGTGCAGGTATCTGGGTGATAAACGGTGGGAAGGACTTAGTCCACCAAGTCCCAGGGTGAGGTACAGCCCCCCCGCCCAGCCCAGGAACCAAACTGTCAGGCCCGGGGCACCACGGGGACTTCAGCTCCCAGGAGACCTTTCGCATCAGCGGCCCTGAGAAACCACAGGAAGTGTACCTTACTCCCTCCGGGCCACCTGCTGGCCAGGTACACACCTGCCCCTGGCCCCTCCCTTACCTGGGGCAGTGTCTGCCTGGTGGCCACTAGAGACAGCCCAGCCTGGGCCATGGAAGAAAACCCGACCTTGGAATCAGAAGCCTGGGGCTCCTCTAGGGGGTGGCTGGCCCCCCGGGAGGCCAGAGGAGGTAGGGAATGCCAGGAGAAGCTCAGATCCATCCGACCTTCAGGCTAGGTGGGAGTCCTGCTGGAGGAGGAAAGGGGAGGCCTGGCCTCCTGAGTCTGAGGGCTAAAGAGAGAAGGTTCCACTTCCTGATATTATGGGGGAGAAGGGAACTGGAGGCTGGAACTCCAGGGTCTGAGGAGGAGGAGCCTGGAGAACCAGGCTAGTCTGGGAGGAGGGGAGGGCTAAGGGCTGGGAGTTTGGGTGTCTTGGGAATAGGAGAGGCTGGGTTCCCACACTCCTGAGCTAGAGGGAAAAGGAAGTTGAAGCCTGGACTCCACTGCCCTGGAGTAGGAGGGTTCCACGCTTGGGGATGGAGTTGAGGGCTGTGGACCCCTGGGTCCAGGGGAAGTAGAGGCTGGCACCCGGACTCCTGGGCCTGAGGGAGGAGGGGCTGGGAACCTGGTTTCCTGGTCTGAGGGAGGAGGGGCTGGGTGCCTGGATTCCTATGTCTGAGGGAGGAGGAGCCGGGGGCCTGGACTCCTGGGTCTGAGGGAGGAGGGGCCGGGGGCCTGTTCTCCTGGGTCTGAGGGAGGAGGAGCCGGGGGCCTGGACTCCTGGGTCTGAGGGAGGAGGGGCCGGGGGCCTGTTCTCCTGGGTCTGAGGGAGGAGGGGCCGGGGGCCTGTTCTCCTGGGTCTGAGGGAGGAGGAGCCGGGGGCCTGGACTCCTGGGTCTGAGGGAGGAGGAGCCGGGGGCCTGGACTCCTGGGTCTGAGGGAGGAGGAGCCGGGGGCCTGGACTCCTGGGTCTGAGGGAGGAGGGGCCGGGGACCTGGTTTCCTGGTCTGAGGGAGGAGGAATTAGGGCCCAGACTCCCGGGTCTTCCCAGCCCCCTGCTCCTCCCCAGGCCCATCGCTGTCTTCTGTGCTGAACGAGCTGCCCAGTGCTGCCACCCTTCGGTACCGAGACCCTGGGGTGCTGCCTTGGGGGGCGCTGGAGGAGGAGGAGGAGGATGGAGGAAGGAGCAGAAAGGCCTTCACAGAAGTCACCCAGACAGAGCTGCAGGACCCTCACCCTTCCCGGGAACTGCCCTGGCCCATGCAGGCCAGACGGGCACACAGGTGAGGCCCCACCTCCAGCTGGGACCCGCACAGCCCGGACCGGGCCCTTCTCCCATACCCTGGACTCGGTCTCCTCCCTCTGTCCTCTGCCGCTCCTGGCTTCTGGGGCCTCTCTCTGCCCCGCTCAGAGCTGCCTCTCTTGGTTTCTTTCTTCCCCTCATCTTTGTCTCTACTTCGGACTCCAGGTGAGTGCTGCCTTTCGATGGCTCTGGGGTCTCTTCTCTCTGGGATTTGCCGTCTCCCTGGTCTCCACCAATCCTGTCTCTGCCTCAGTTTCTCTCTGTGTGTGTGTCCAAAATCTGTTAATATTTATTTCTCTCTGCTTTATACCTTCCTTCATCTTTGCCTCCTCTTCCAAGCCTCCCTCTCTTTAACTTCTTTCTTTTCCCATTCTCACTGCATAATTTGCAGGGCCTGGTGAACAATGAAAATGCAGGTGCCCTCCTTCAAAAATGATTATGGGCCCATTGCAGTGGCTCACACCTGTAATCCCAGCACTTTGGGAGGCCCAGGCGAGTGGATCACCTGTGGTCAGGAGTTCAAGACCAGCCTGGCCAACATGGCAAAACCCCAACTCTACTAAAAATACAAACATTAGCTGGGTGTGGTGGCGGGTGCCTGTAATCCCAGCTACTCGGGAGGCTGAAGCAGGAGAATCGCTTGAACCAGGGAGATAGAGGTTGCAGTGAGCCAAGATCGTGCCATTGGACTCCGGCCTGGGTGATAGAGCGGGACTCCATCTCAAATATATATATACGCGTATATACGCGTATATATATACGCATATATGCGTATATATATGCATATGTGTGTATATATATACACATATATATGTATATATATGTGTATATATATGGAAAAAACAATAAAAAATAACAATGTATCAACACTCCCACGCCGATCAGTAGTGGGATCATGCCTGTGAATATAGCCACTATACTGCGGCCTGAGTAACATAGCGAGACCCCCATCTCTATTTTTTAAAAGTAATAATCAAAGTAACAATATGACAAAAAATAATACAAGTTAAAAGAACAGCTATCTATATAACATTTACCTTGTACCGGGTGTTATAAGTAATCTAGAGGTGATTTAAAGTGCATTGGAGGGCTGGGTGTCGTGGCCCATACCTGTAGCCCCAGCGCTTTGGGAGGCTGAGGCGGGAGAATTGCTTGAGCCTGGAAGTTTGAGGCTGCATTGAGCTATGATTGCACCACCGCACTCCAGCCTGGACAACAAAACGAGACATTTGTCTGTAAAAATCAGATAAAAATTAAAATAAAATAAAACAAACACAGGAGGATGTGTGTAGCCTGTATGCAAATACTATACCGTTTTATATAAGGAATTTGGGCATCTACAGATTTCAGTATTCTTGGGGAGTCCTTGAACCAACCCCCATGGATACTGAGGGATGGCTGTATTCATAAAGTGAGAGCCCAGATAAACTCCAGCTAGGGCAAGTGACACGGCATGACAGCACCCTGTGCGTCCCTCCCCTGACACCCCCTTTTTCCTCACAAATACAAGGTAACCTCTTCTCCCTAACCTTTTTTTTTTTTTTTTTGACAGAGTCTTGCTCTGATGCCCAGGCTGGAGTGCAGTGGTGCAGTCTCAGCTCACTGCAGCCTCCGACACCTGGGCTCAAGCGATCCTCCCACTCCAGCCTCCTGCTTTTCTGTAGAGCTTTGCAAGCTGTGCTCTGCAACGTTGTGCAAATAGAATCATACAGTCTTCAGTCTTTTGTGCTGGCTTCTTCTGCCTAGCATTAGGTTTCTTTCTTTTCTTTCTTTCTTTCCTTTCTTGGAATCTCACTCCGTCACCCAGGCTGGAATGCAATGGCGCCATCTCAGCTCACTGCAACCTCCACCTCCCAGGTTCAAGCAATTTTCCTGCCTCAGCCTCTCGTGTAGCTGGGATTACAGGCACCCGCCACCAGGCCCAGCTAATTTTTTTTTTTTTTTGGTATTTTTAGTAGAGACAGGATTTCACCATGTTGGTCAGGCTGGTCTCGAACTCCTGACCTCAGGTGATTCACCCACCTCGGCCTCCCAAAGTGCTGGGATTACAGGCCTGAGCCACTGTACCCAGCTGGTTTCTTTTTTATTGCTACAGAGTATTCTATCTTATGTATAGGCCACAATTTACTTCTCCATTCTACTGTTGGATTGTGTCTACATTCAGATGGTTCCCAGTCTGGGGCTGCGAAACCCCTCATTTTCTGCCTGTTTCCCTCCCAGGCAAAGAAATGCCAGCAGGGACCAGGTGGTCTATGGCTCTGGAACTAAGACGGACCGATGGGCGCGGCTACTTCGGAGGTCCAAGGAGAAAACAAAGGAAGGCTTGCGAAGCCTGCAGCCCTGGGCGTGGACACTGAAGAGGATCGGGGGTGCGGTGGGGTTTGGGTGGTGTCCTGGGGGCAGGGCCTGGACTCCTGGGTCTGAGGGAGGAGGGGCTGGGGACGGACTCCTGGGTTTGAGGGAGGAGGGGCTTGGGCCTGGATTTTTGGGTCTGAGGGAGGAGGGGCTGGGGGTCTGGACTCTTGGGTCTGAGAAAGGCACGGCTGGGCCTGGCGCGGTGGCTCACGCCTGTAATCCCAACAGTTTGGGAGGCCGAGGTGGGTGGATCACCTGAGGTCAAGAATTCGAGACCAGCCTGACCAACATGGTGAAACCCCCGTCTCTACCAAAAATACAAAAACTAGCTGAGCATGGTGGCGCACGCCTGTAATCCCAGCTACTCGTGAGGCTGAGACAGGAGAATTGCTTGAACCCAGGAGGCGGAGGTTGCAGTGAGCCGAGATCGCGCCACTGCACTCCATGCTGGGCGGCAGAGCGAAACTCCGTCTCAAAAAAAAAAAAAGAAAAGAAAAGAAAAGAAAAATATATATATATATATATAGAGAGAGAGAGAGAGAGAAAGAAAGGAAGGAAGGAAGGAAGGAAGGAAGGAAGGAAGGAAGGAAGGAAGGAAGGAAGGAAAGAAAAGAAAGAAAGGAAGAAAGAAAGAAAGAAAGAAAGAAAAGAAAGAAAGAAAGAAAGAAAGAAAGAAAGAAAGAAAGAAAGAAAGAAAGAAAGAAAGAAAGAAAAAGAAAGAAAGAAAAGAAAGAAAGAAAGAAAAGAAAGAAAAGAAAGAAAGAAAGGAAGGCGCGGCTGGACCCCAGTCCAGGGGTAGGAGGGGCTGGTCCTGCTCCCGGGAAGGAACCTGAGCCTCTCTCTGCTGCCCCCTGCAGGCCAGTTTGGCGCCGGCACGGAGTCCTACTTCTCCCTGCTGCGCTTCCTGCTCCTTCTTAACGTGCTGGCCTCTGTGCTCATGGCCTGCATGACGCTGCTGCCCACCTGGTTGGGAGGCGCTCCCCCAGGCCCTCCCGGCCCCGACATCTCCTCGCCCTGCGGCTCCTATAACCCCCACTCCCAGGGCCTGGTCACCTTTGCCACCCAGCTCTTCAACTTGCTCTCGGGTGAGGTAGGTGCCTGGGTCCCTGGGGGATTCCCCGCCCACCTGTGACCCCAGTGCCTTCAATGACACGAACCTCAAACCCTGACCCCAGACCCTGACTGTGCAGCTCCAGGAGCCCCGCCTCCTCCCACAGTGGCCCCTGCGCCGCCTTCCCCCCACAGGGTTACCTGGAATGGTCCCCTCTCTTCTATGGCTTCTACCCGCCCCGCCCACGCCTGGCGGTCACCTACCTGTGCTGGGCCTTTGCCGTTGGCCTCATCTGCCTCCTGCTCATCCTGCATCGGTCAGTGGCACCTGCACCCCTGACCCCTGACGGGACGGGTTGGGGTGGGGGAGCAAGTGGTGGTGGCAGAAACCCCCTCCCCAAGAATCCTCAGTCTTTTTTTTTTTGAGACGGAGTTTTGCTCTTATTGCCCAGGCTAGAGTGTAGTGGCGCAATCTCGGCTCACTGCAACCTCCGCCTTCCGGTTTCAAGCGATTCTCCTGCCTCAGCCTCCCAAGTTGCTGGGATTACAGGCGCCCGCCACCACGCCCAGCTAACTTTTTTGTATTTTTAGTAGAGATGGGGTTTCACCATGTTGGTCAGGCTGGTCTTGAACTGCTGACCTCGTGATCCACCCGCCTCGGCCTCCCACAGTGCTGGGATTACAGGCGTGAGCCACCGCGCCCGGCCCCAGAATCCTCGGTCTTGCTGTGTAACCCTTTATTCTGTGTGAGTTAAAATCAAGGTTTTGGGCCAGGAGCGGTGGCCCAGGAGGCGGAGCTTGCAGTGAGCCGAGTTTGCGCCACTGCACTCCAGCCTGGGCGACAGAGCGAAACTCCATCTAAAAAAAAAAAAAAGATCAAGGTTTTGGGATTTGTTTTTGTTTTTCATTTGTTTTGTTTGTTTGTTTTTGAGACAGAGTCTTACTCTGTCGCCCAGGCTGGAGTGCAATGGCACGATCTTGGCTCACTGCAACCTCCACCTCCCGGGTTCAAGCGATTCTACTGCCTCACCCTCCCAAGTAGCTGGGTTTACAGGCTCCGGCCACCACGCCCAGCTAATTTTTTGTATTTTTAGTAGAGACGGGGTATCGCCATGTTGGCCAGGCTGGTCTCGAACTCCTGATCTCAGGTGATCCACCTGCCTCGGCCTCCCAAAGTGCTGGGATTACAGGTGTGAGCCACCGCACCCAGTCTGTTTTGTTTTTTGAGACAGGGTCTCACTCTGTCACCCGGCTAGCGTGCGGTGGTGCAATCATAGCTCACCGGAAGCCTGGGCCTCCGGAACTCAACTGATCCGCCTACCTCAGCCTCGGGAGCAGCTGGGACCACAGGGGTGCACCACCATGTCTTGCTAAAATTTTTTTTTTAATGTTATAGAGACAGGGTCTTGCTATGTTGCCCAGGCTGCGCTCAAACTCCTAGGCTCAAGAGATCTGCTCACCTCAGCCTCCCAAGGTGCTGGAATTACAGGCATGAGCCAATGTGCCTGGCCAAAAGTCAACTTTTTTTTTTTTTGAGACGGAGTCTCGCTCTGTCACCCAGGCTAGAGTGCAGTGGTGCGATCTCAGCTCACTGCAACCTCCGCCGCCCGGGTTCAAGCAATTTTCCTGCCTCAACCTCCCAAGTAGCTGGGATTACAGGCATGTGCCACCATGCCCGGCTAATTTTGTATTTTTAGTAGAAATGGGGTTTCACCATGTTTGTCAGGCTGGTCTCGAACTCCTGACCTCAGGTGATGCACCCGCCTCGGTCTCCCAAAGTGCTGGGATTACAGGCGTGAGCCACCACGCCCGGCAAAGAGCCTCGATTTTAAGAGAAGGGAAAAGCCCTGGAATAGGTCTTAAACAGGGGAATACGGTCTGAGTTGCATCAAAAGAAGGTCCCACTGGCTCAAGAACTGAGAATGGATTATATGCGGGCACAAGTGGAAGCAAGGAGACCATGTGAGGGCCCTCTGTGGTTGTTCACATGAGAGATGATGGGGGCCGGGGCCAGGGCAGTGAAGGTGCACATGGTCTCTTTGTCCAGTTCTGTTTCTGCCCCTGCTGGGGTTCTCTATCTCCTTCCTGGGTCTTTGCCCCCCTCTCTTGAGTCTCTTTACCTGCCCGTCTTCTCTGGGTCTTTTTTTTTTTTTTTTGGAGGCGACCTCCACCTCCTGGGTTCAAGTGATCCTCCCACCTCAGCCTCCCAAGTAGTTGGGATTACAGGCATGCACCACCACGCCTGGCTAATTTTTGTATTTTTAGTAGAGACGGGGTTTCACCACATTGGCCAGGCTGGTCTCAAACTCCTGACCTCAGGTGATCCTCCCCCCTCGGCCTCCCAAAGTGCTGGGATTACAGGCGTGAGCCATGGCGCCTGGCCTGCCCCCTCTCTTGAGTCTTTACCTGCCATCTTCTCTGGGTCTCTGTCTTCTTCTCGGCTCTTCCCGCCGCAGCTCCCTTCTCTGTGTGCCTGTACTTCTTATGGGTCTTTGACCCCCATCTTTTGTAGATGTAGTTTCCCCTTTCTCACTGTCTTTTTCTCCCTTTCTCCGAATCTCCCTCTGGGGCCTCTGTCCCTCCTCCACATCTCTGTCTTCCTCAGGGCCTCTGTTTCTCTCACTCTGGGTTTCTGCCCCCTTCGCTCCGAGGCTCTGTCCCTGTCTCCTAGGTTTCTGCCTCTCTTTGGGGTGCCTGCACCCCAGAACTGTCTCTGAATCTCCCTTGGACTTTGCCTTCAATGACTGTGTCTCCGCCTCTTTGACTCTTTCCCCATCTGGTCTGGTGGGAACTCGCCTAGTACCCAAGGCCTTAGGGTTCATCTTCCCCATTTGTCCCAATATGAGGGGTCTCCCCATAACCCCCGTTCCTGGCTGTCCTTTCACTTCCCGTCTCCCGGGTCTCCCCTCTCAGCTCGGTGTCTGGGCTGAAGCAGACACTGCTGGCGGAGTCCGAGGCTCTGACCAGCTACAGCCACCGGGTGTTCTCGGCCTGGGACTTCGGTCTCTGCGGGGACGTCCACGTGCGGCTGCGCCAGCGCATCATCTTGTACGAATTAAAGGTGCGATTAGGGAGCGGGGTCTGCAACTGGGTAGGGACCAGACAGGACCGGGCTGAGATAACGCACAGGGCCTAACTCGGTGATGGGGCCTCCGGAGAGATGCTAAGCAGCTCCTTCTCCAAGAAAGGCAGGTCCTGGGGAATGAGAAGGTTGAGAGGAGGCCGAGATAGGGCTGCCCGAGCTCCAAGCGTGTAGGAAAAGGATGCGCCAGGGCTGGGATCGGTGGCTAATGCTTGTAACCCCAGCACTTTGGGAGACCGAGACAGGTGGATCGCTTCAGTCTAGGAGTTCGAGACCAGCCTGGGCAACATAGGGAGGCTCCCTCTCTACCAAAAAAAAAAAAAAAAAGTTTGTTTTTTTTTAAGTAAGCACAAGAAGCGGGCGGGGCCTAAGGCAATTTGGTTCAAAGTTAAGTGATGGGAGCGGCCAGCAGGGCGTCTTGATACAGCTGAACTGGAACTTCAGGCCAGGAATAAAGCGCAGGGCCACCTGGGGGCGGAGCCTCTGATGGGCAGGGCTGACCAGGGGCGGGTCTTGGGATGCTGGGCGGAGCCTCAGGGGCGGGGCCTGGGGTGCTGAGATTGACCGCGGAGGGATGGGGGCTTGGGTTGCTGGATCCGGCCGCGAAGGGGCGGGGCTGTAAAGGGCCGCTGGTTTCCTGGAGCGGGTGGAACCAGGACTGCAGAGGTTGTTAGCGGGTGGGGAGACGGCTGCATCAGTTCACGTTAAGGAGGATCTCTGGAGAGCCAGACCTGGGGAACCGGGAGGCCCGCGCCTTGGGAAATGGAGTCCAAGCGGGCATCTCTCCTGCCTTCAGGTGGAGCTGGAGGAGACAGTGGTGCGGCGCCAGGCTGCGGTGCGGACGCTGGGCCAGCAAGCCAGGGTTTGGTTGGTGCGGGTGCTGCTCAACCTGCTGGTGGTCGCGCTCCTGGGGGCAGCCTTCTATGGCGTCTACTGGGCTACGGGGTGCACCGTGGAGCTGCAGGTGCGGACGGTCTTGGAAGAGGAAGCCAGGGGGTCCTGGAACCTACATTTCCAACGGTGGAGGGAGGGGACGGAAGTTTGGGATGCCAGAGATCTTAGAGAGGAAGTATGGGAGAGGGTATGTTCGGACCCTGGACTTAGGGATTTTAAAGGAAAAAGAGAGGCTGGGCGCGGTGGCTTACACCTGTAATCCCAGCACTTTGGGAGGCTGAGGCGGGCGGATCACGATGTCAGGAGTTCCAGACCAGCCTGACCAACATGGTGAAAAACAGTCTCTACTAAAAATACAAAAATTAGACGGGCGTGGTGGTGGGCGCCTGTAATCCCAGCTACTCAGGAGGCTGAGGCAGGAGAATCACTTGAACCCGGGAGGCAGAGGTTGCAGCGAGCCGAGATCGCACCGCTGCATTCTAGGCTGGGCAACAGAGCGAGACTCTGTCTCAAAAAAAAAAAAAAAAAGAAGAAGAAGAAGAAGAGGCCGGGGGGAGGACCTTAAGCTTGGCTCCTCCAGGACCCCAAGCCTCTACTCATGGTCCATCCCGCTCCCAGGAGATGCCCCTTGTCCAGGAGTTGCCACTGCTGAAGCTTGGGGTGAATTACCTTCCGTCCATCTTCATCGCTGGGGTCAATTTTGTGCTGCCGCCCGTGTTCAAGCTCATTGCTCCACTGGAGGGCTACACTCGGAGTCGCCAGATCGTTTTTATCCTGCTCAGGTTCCAGCCTCACGGGGATGGCTGGGAATGATGAAGGGTGGGGGCGGTCAGAGGGATGTTGGCGCTGACAGGTAAGACACGGAAATCCTGCTGATACCGAATCCAGGGATTCAAATCCTGACTCTGTTGGCCAGGTGCAGTGGCTCACACCTGTAATCCCAGCACTTTGGGAGGCCGAGGCTGAGGTCAGGAGTTCGAGACCAGCCTGACAAACATGATGAAACCCCGTCTGTAGTAAAAATACGAATATTAGCCCGGCGGTAGTGGCTTCTGTAGTCCCAGCTACTCGGGAGGCTGAGGCAGGAGAATGGCTCGAGCCTGGGAGGTGGAGGTTGCAGTGAGCTGAGATCGCGCCACTGCACTCCAGTCCGGGTGACAGAGTGAGACCCTGTCTCAAAAAAAAAAAAAAAAAAAGAAAGAAAGAAAGAAAGAAATCCTGATTCTGTCACTGGGCCTCAGCTTCATCTGTGAGATGGGTTGAATGCGGGCGCGTTCCACTGAGAAGGGAACTGCCACATGGTGGGTACCGGGTCAGGGCCCATTCTCTGCCTTCCCCCCTTCAGGACCGTGTTTCTTCGCCTCGCCTCCCTGGTGGTCCTGCTCTTCTCTCTCTGGAATCAGATCACTTGTGGGGGCGACTCCGAGGCTGAGGACTGCAAAACCTGTGGCTACAATTACAAACAACTTCCGGTGAGAACGGCATGGGTGTGCGTGGGACTCTTGGGTCCCTGAAGGAAAGATGGAGCTGGGTGGGTCCAGACTCTTGGTTTGGGCGGAGAGGGGAGCTTGGGGTGCTGGAACACTCTCCCAAGGGTATGAAAGTTTGAAAAACGAGGACCCCCAGAGAAAGTATTGACAGGGTCTCATAGGCTTGCGATGTGGAGACTCGGACGCGTGGGCCTCCAGGTGCCCGGGTCCCGAGTTCTTTCTGATATATTTCTTCCTTCTTCAGTGCTGGGAGACTGTCCTGGGCCAGGAAATGTACAAACTTCTGCTCTTTGATCTGCTGACTGTCTTGGCAGTCGCGCTGCTCATCCAGTTTCCTAGAAAGTGAGAGCCCCGCCCCTTGCTGTGGCCCCGCCCCTCTAGGACGAGGCCGTGCCCCATCGCGCTGTTCTTTTCACCGCGCACCTTTTTACCATTCCCGCCTCTGCCTGCTCCCTTTGCTTGCCCTAGGTCCGCAGATCTCCCCGCTCCCCGCCCTTGTTTTAGTGGGTTACTTCCCTCTGGCCCCGACGGCGGCGACATCTGGGTCCCTTCTAGTCCTCAGGACCCGCCCTCTGGACACACCCCCTCCACGTGGAGTCCTGAAAGTCCCGCCCCCCCCCCCCCAACCAATACGCATGCTTCCTATTGGCGGGCGGGGCGGTGGAGGCGGGGAAACTCCAGGCCGCCACTCCCCTGACTCCGGCCCGGCCCCGCCCCGTCCTTCAGGCTCCTCTGTGGCCTCTGTCCTGGGGCGCTGGGTCGTCTGGCGGGGACCCAGGAGTTCCAGGTGCCCGACGAGGTGCTGGGGCTCATCTACGCGCAGACGGTGGTCTGGGTGGGGAGTTTTTTCTGCCCTTTACTGCCCCTGCTTAACACGGTCAAGTTCCTGCTGCTTTTCTACCTGAAGAAGGTAAGGGGTAGGGGGGACCCTTGGGTCTGAGGCAGGAGGTATTGGGGCCCGCACTCCTGGGTCAAGGGCAAGGAAGATCCTGGGGGCCTGGATTACTCGGTCCTGAGAGAGGAGGGGGTTGGAGGACAGACTACTGCATCTGAGAGGAGGGGTCTAGGGCATTCTGACTTATATGTCTGAGGATCTGGGGACTCAGACTCCGGGGTCCTAGATGAGGAAGGGGCTCAGACTCCTGGTTCGGAAAAAAGGAGAGGCAGGTAGGCCGGGTGCAGTGGCTCACGCCTGTAATCCCAGCACTTCGGGAGACTAAGGCGGGTGGATCACCTGAGGTCAGGAGTTTGAGACCAGCCTGGCTAACATGGCAAAACCCCGTCTCTACTAAAAATACAAAAAAAATTAGCCGGGCTTAGTGGCAGGCGCCTGTAATCCCAGCTACTCAGGAGGCTGAGGCAGGGGAATTGCTTGAACCAGGGAGGTGAAGGTCGAAGTGAGCCAAGATCGTGCCACTGCACTCCAGCCTGGGCGACAGAGCGAGACTCCGTCTCAAAAAGAGAAAACAAACAAACAACAACAACAGCAAAACAAATTAGCCGGGAGTGGTGGTGCACACCTGTAATCCCAGCTACTCGGGAGGCTGAGACACGAGAATAGCTTGAACCCGGGAGGGGAGGCTGCAGTGAGAGCCACTGCACTCCAGCCTGGGCGACAGAGCGAGACTCTGTCTCAAAAAAAAAAGCCTGGGCGACAGAGCGAGACTCTGTCTCAAAAAAAAAAAAAAAAAAAATGGAGGCACAGACTCTTGTGTTTCAGAGCCCTTTTCTCCGTGCCTTCCCCCACCAGCTTACCCTCTTCTCCACCTGCTCCCCGGCTGCCCGCACCTTCCGGGCCTCCGCGGCGAATTTCTTTTTCCCCTTGGTCCTTCTCCTGGGTCTGGCCATCTCCAGCGTTCCCCTGCTTTACAGCATCTTCCTGTAAGTGCGAGAGGCTCCCGCCTCTCTCCCTCCCTCTCTCCCCATTCAGTGTTCAGACTCCTGGCACTATGTGAGCCCAGCCTGTCTTGACTTCAGGATCCCGCCTTCTAAGCTTTGTGGTCCATTCCGGGGGCAGTCGTCCATCTGGGCCCAGATCCCTGAGTCTATTTCCAGCCTCCCTGAGACCACCCAGAATTTCCTCTTCTTCCTGGGGACCCAGGCTTTTGCTGTGCCCCTTCTGCTGATCTCCAGGTGAGACGGCCCAGACTTCTGGGTCTGGGTTTGAATGCGTGTGATCTGGGGGCCACCACCTGCGTCCAAGAGAGGAGAGGCTTGGGCGTGGGAGCAGGCAACGTACTGAGTCTGAGGGAGGAGGCCTAGGCTCCTGGACTGCTGGGTCCGAAGGAGGAGGTGGGCGGGACGTAGGACTCCTGGATCTGAAGGCGGAGGGGCTGGGAGACTGAACTCCTTGAGCCCAGACGAGGAGGGGCTTAGGCGTCCACATCCCTGGCTTCGAAGGAGCCAGACGTTTGGATATAATGGAAGAGCGTGTCAGGAGTGGCTTCCGTTCCTGTCTCCTTCAGCATCCTGATGGCGTACACTGTGGCTCTGGCTAACTCCTACGGACGCCTCATCTCTGAGCTCAAACGTCAGAGACAGACGGTGAGCCAGGCGGGTCCCTGAGAGGGCCCCTGGGGAACATGGAAAGGGGTTGGGGAAGAGGATTGTCTCACCTCCACCTCTCTTTGCCCCAGGAGGCGCAGAATAAAGTCTTCCTGGCACGGCGCGCTGTGGCGCTGACCTCCACCAAACCGGCTCTTTGACCCCCGCAGCCCACGTCCCGCTTTCAGACCCCAGGCCCATTGTAAGCCTAGGTCACAACATCTGTAAACTAGGAGAACTGGAGAAGACTCCACGCCCTTCCAGCTTTGGTATCTGGAGATTTCCAGGGCCCCTCGCCGCCACGTCCCTGACTCTCGGGTGATCTTCCTTGTATCAATAAATACAGCCGAGGTTGCTGAGCGCGCTTTGAAATCTGCGTCCTGAAGGTGGGGGCAGGGCTACAGCGGGGCAGGAGCCAATCAAATGTACGGGCATGTTTGTCGGTGCAGAGCGCTCTTCCGCAAGGAGACTTGTCGGTCATGTCGGCCAATCGACGGCCGCATCTGGTAGCATCAGGGGCGGGCCAACTTATGATTGGTTCAGATCTGTGACAAGAGGCGGTTGCTAGGGGATACCACGAGCCGAACGCCTAGCATTCGCTGTGATAAAGGGCGTCTCAGCCAATCACCTGTCGCTACAGGCCAGGGGGCCGTACCAACTAATTCGGAACCAATCCGCGGTCGAAGTAGGGACAAGAAAAAGGGGGGCATCCTCTCGCCAATCGGAAGTGCAAAGAGGCGGGCGTGCCAGTCCCTGGACAGCTACGACGCCATGAATATCTTGCCCAAGAAGAGCTGGCACGTCCGGAACAAGGACAATGTCGCCCGCGTGCGGCGTGACGAGGCCCAGGCCCGGGAGGAGGAGAAGGAGCGTGAGCGGAGGGTGCTGCTGGCTCAGCAAGAGGTAAGCTCGGAAGCCGGCAGGGCGGCGCTCCGGGGCCCAGCGCGCAGGCGCCGCGGTTGGGGGCCGGAAGCGGAGGCGTTGCGCAGGCTCAATGTGCCCCGTGTGAAATTCGGGACCAGGCGCCGATCCCACTTTCGAGGACGTTGCCCCGCAAACCTTGTGCCCACTTCCACGAAACCTTCCTTGATCTCGCCCTCGTCTTAGTTTTTCCCCCACTGATGTATTTCACATGGCTGGAACAGTGTCTAGCACAAAAGAGAAGCTTAACATTTAATGAATCCGTGAACCCTTGGACAGTTCAAGGAAATTCGGATCACTTTTTAGTTTGCCTGCACAGCCTATTTATTGAGCATCTACTGTATGCTAACTACATGCCGTGCACCTGACTTGCGGAATCCCCAATAAGCACTGTTCGTTCTTAGAGGGGCACTGTCATCTCTGTTGCACGAAGTGAGATGGCTTCAGTGAGGGGAAGGCACATTTTAAGGAGAGGCGGACAGCCAGGCTCCACGCCATCGGGCGAGCCCTTTCGTGCACCGCCCCCTAGACACATACACACAAACACGGGCTTTCCGTATGGCTCTTTAAATCTGTTTGGTGTACACCCAACTTTCATTTCCTTAGCTAGTCTGATCCTCCGCCGTGGGTGGGAGGTAGTCTAGGTTTTTAGAATCTCAGTAGGCTGCTGAGCGCTGTTTGAAATCCGCGTCCTGAAGGCAGGGGACAGGGCTTCAGCAGACTTGGGGTAGTCACTTGGAGCCATGGCTAGAATTCAGATCGTCTGGCCTAATGCATACCTTTATGGCTGTTTTAATTGTCTCACTTGAGGTTAGGAACCCCTTTGGTTTAGGCCAGGGACCTCCTCCCATACATCCTTGATGACCCGTGGTTTACTATTTGAAAGGGAGTTTACAAAACCCAGGCGTTGCCTCATCTGCCTACCCTCACCCCCAGCTAGGACAGGTGCCTCTTTTAGGCGCCTAGTGCTCCCTTTCTCATAACCCCAGCACCCTGGACTGCCATTTTCTGTGGTGGGCACCAGACTCACAGTTCTTGAATTACCTCTAGGTTCTGAATGTCCTGCCTATAACTTTCTCCCCAGGCCCGTACAGAATTCCTACGGAAGAAAGCCAGACATCAGAACTCACTGCCTGAGCTTGAAGCAGCAGAGGCGGGAGCCCCAGGTTCTGGCCCTGTGGACCTGTTTCGGGAGCTGCTGGAGGAAGGGAAAGGAGTGATCAGAGGCAATAAAGAGTACGAGGAAGAAAAGCGACAGGAGAAAGTAAGCTGGCCTCACCCACTTCATCAGAGGGGCCATGAATCGAGTTGGAGGGAGGGGGCACTTTAGCCATTGGTTGTGACCAAGGTCAAACAAGAGTGAACACACAGAATTTAGGACCATACCAAGGCATGACACTCAAAAAGCGTTGGCTATTGCCGTCTGGGCGCCCACAGGGGTTGGAGGTAGATGCTAGAGGTCCCCAGCTGCTGGGCAAACCGCTCAGTTCTCCAAACTGGAGGAGTCTCAAACCTGATGGGCTTTTAAAAATTTAAATCAGCCGGCTGTGGCTCACGCCTGTAATCCCACCACCTTGGGAGGCTGAGGCGGGTGGATCACCTGAGGTCAGGAGTTCAAGACCAGCCTGGTCAACATGGTATCTCTAAAAATACAAAAAAAATTAGCCGGGCATGGTGGTGCGCGCCTGTAATCCCAGGGAAGCTGAAGCAGGAGAATCGCTTGACCCAGGAGGTGGAAGCTGCAGTAAGCCGAGATTGCGCCACTGCACTCCAGCCTGGGTGACAGAGCGAGACCCCATCTCAAAACAATCAAACAAAAAGTGAATCAATCGCCTCTTGCTTTTTGGCTAAGATCAAGTGTAAAAGGTACATCAGTGGCTGTGCATGGTGGCTCACGCCTGTAATCCCAGCACTTTGGGAGGCCAACGTGGGTGGATCACCTGAGGTCAGAAGTTCAAGACCAGCCTGGCCAAACATGGCAAAACCCCGTCTCTACTAAAAATACAAAAATTAGCTGGGCATGGTGGTGTGTGCCTGTAATCCCAGCTACTCGGGGGGCTGAGGTAGGAGGATTGCTTGAACCTGGGAAGCAGAGGTTGCAGTGAGCCGAGATCGTGCCACTGCACTCGAGTCTGGGCAACAGAGCGAGACTCCATCTCAAAAAAAAGAGGTACATCAGCTCTTGTCATTTATCTGCTGTCTCTGGACTTGCTGACCCCACCCATCGCTCCTCTGCTTTGCTTGATCCCTTCAGGCTTCTCTTCAAGTCTCTCTGCAAAGATGCCTGCCTCTGAACACTCAAGTGGCTCCACTTGTCCCCTCCTTCCCCTGCTGTTACTGTACCTGCTACTGTCCCCCCAGGGGGAGCTTTGCCTCTGTTTGTCTTCCATCCCCAGCACCTGGTCCAACTGGTTCATAACAAGCCTTAGATACCTGTTCGCTTAGATACCTGTGTCAGGGAGACACACCTGACACCTTGAAAGATTATATCACATCTCTTGTATTTCCTGGCCCCCTCAGGAGAGGCAAGAGAAAGCTCTGGGCATCCTGACATACCTGGGCCAGAGTGCAGCGGAGGCACAGACTCAACCCCCTTGGTACCAGCTACCCCCAGGGCGAGGGGGCCCCCCGCCCGGCCCAGCCCCAGATGAGAAGATCAAGAGCCGTCTGGACCCTCTGCGGGAGATGCAGAAGCATCTGGGGAAGAAGAGACAGCACGGCGGTGATGAAGGCAGTCGCAGCAGAAAGGAAAAGGAGGGGTCTGAGAAGCAGCGACCCAAGGAGTAAGAAGACCCCACCTCGGCAGACCAGGGCCCAGACCTTCAGGGCTTGGCAGCAGCCCAGCATGGGCACTGCAGCGTCTCTGGTCAGGACAGCCAGGGACTCCGTGAAGGGCTGGCTAGGTGGAGAAGTGGTTCTCAGCATGTGGTCCAGGGAGCCCTAGGGGTCCTGACACCCTTTCCCGGGGTGCTGTGGTGTCAAGCCTATTTTCCTGACACTGGTGGACTTTTCCACTCGTGTTCTCAGGCATGTAGTGCAGGTTTCCAGAGGCTGTGTGATGGGGAGACACCCTCACTCTGATGGCCAATGGCAGATGCTTGTGTCCAAACTTTCTTAGTTTTCACTAATGATTTGCAGCATATTAAGAGAACCCATTTAAACAAAAGCTCTTGGGGTCCTTGGTTTTTAAGAGTATAAAGGGGTCCTGAGACCAAAGAGTTTGAGAGCTGCTGGGTTAGAGAGTAAAAGCAGGCTTCTGTCTCCAGGATGCTGCACCCCTGGTCTAGAGGGGGTACACTGCCTGTAGTCTTCTTTCCTCTAGAAAGGGAAACTGAGGGCCAGGGGGCTGCTAAGTGTGCTTTCTTGACCTGGAGAAGCATCAGATTTTAAAGACTGGGGAGGACCAAAGCCCACAGAAGGGAAGGCCAGAGACGTGCCCATGGCGTCCCAGCACCAAGTGGCTGCTTCCAGCAGGCCTAAGGAGCTGAGGCTGGGGTGTGCTGGATGCAGCGGGGCTTCCAGGCGGCAGCTCCCTCTATGGGAGAGGTTGGGGGAATGGCCTCCTAGGGGCTACCAGCTTTCTGACCTCACTCCTCTCCCCACAGGCCTCCATCCCTGGACCAGCTTCGAGCTGAACGTCTGCGGAGGGAAGCAGCTGAGAGGTCTCGGGCAGAGGCCCTGCTGGCCCGGGTCCAAGGCCGGGCACTACAGGAGGGTCAGCCGGAAGAAGACGAGACGGATGACCGGCGGCGGCGGTACAACTCCCAATTCAACCCCCAGCTGGCCCGGCGCCCCCGCCAGCAGGACCCTCACCTTACTCACTGACTCCTGAGGGGGTACAGGAGAGGCCGCTGCTGCCAGCCGTCATATAAAACTATTTATTCATAAATATTTTCCAAAATGAAAATAGGTTTACCAAAAAATGTCCCTCACTGGGGAGGGGAGGAGGGGGCAGCCCTCGCCCCCGGGCCCCCAGGGTGGGGCTGAGAGGAAAACCTCCCGGCCCCCTCCCTGCTTCCTGGGAGAGGGGGATGCCCCGTGGCTTGGGGCCTCCCTCCAGTCTTCCAGGGCAGGGCCCTCACCTGGGCAGGGGGATCAGCATGCGGGGGAAGGGGGTGGGTAGAGGGAGGGGCCGGTGTCACTGGAGGTCCCGGTCCTCCAGGTAGCGGTACTCAAAGGTGAAGCCTTCCTTCTTCCGCTGGCCCCACTTCTCGTAGTCAAAGTAGATGTAGGTGCCCTGGCCGGGGGAGAAGGCGGTCAGTGAGTGGACGAGGAGGTGGTCTGGGATCTGGGCCGGACCAACAGACAAAGGGGACAATTCTTAGGGCTGTGGATGTGTCAGGCACCGGGCCAGCTGCCCTGCACGCACACACTCTCATCCATCCTCACAAGGTTCTTCTTGGGTAGGAAATGTTATCATGCCACTTCAGCGAGGAGGAAACGGAGGGGGCCGCAGAGGTTCCACCGAAGCCAGCTGCCAGAACGGGGCCCCAGCCCCAGGTGTGAGTGCACAGCCTTCGTTTCCTCGAGGGCTGTGGCTTTTGAGCACCTCTCACGTGAGTACAGGATGCACAGCCTAGCATTTAATCTTCACAAAGACCTCGAGGCAGTGGGTACTGTCACCCTTGTTCTAGAGAATGGAACAGTCTCAGAGTCTAAATCCAAGCACTCTGCAGGGACATTTTATTGGTGACGGAAGTGGTGTGGGAATTTCTGAATGACTGGATGCCCTGAAATGTACTAACTTGGAGGATGGTTTTGGGCCAAACCAGGAAAGGACAGGAAGTCTGTGGTTAACATCTGAGGACACAATGGGAGAGGACCTAGGTTCTAAATGAATGTCTTAAGTGCTTCAAAGATGGCAACCTGGGAGAACCAGGAGAGGGGACTGAGTTCTCTGAGGACAAGGACCTTGTACTACTTCATCCCCATGAAGGGGCTCGGCATCAGGGAAGTATTTGGTGGAAAAAAACATCACTGTAGAACACACCAACTGAAAGTAATTTGAAAAAAAAAATCCATGACACTGACTATGTAGCAGTCACCATTAAGTACTTACATGTTATTAACTCATTTAATCTTCATAACAACTGCATTAGGTAGGTGGTCTTCCCCCCATTTTTACAGATAAGTTAATTGAGACACAGAGGTTCGAGTGACTTGCCTAGAGTCGCCCAGCTGGACTGGGCTGAAACCCAGGTAGGTTGGTTCCAGAGTGTTTGCAAGCAGCAGGAATTTCCCAGTATTAGAACTTGAGAAGCCCATTCAAAAAAAATAGTTTCGGCACTGAGCCCCTGCCCTGCTGAGTGCTGGGACCTGGAGGTGAAGTGGGGGCCATCAAGGTCCCTCGGCAGCAGAGCCCACAGCCTGGTGCAGGGACACATACTGGGAAAATCCCACACCCCAAGCGAGTGTGCCCAGCACTGCAAAGGGGAGGCACTGGGCTGGGTGGCTCCAGGAAGGTTTCTTTGAGGAAGGGACATTTGGGCTGAGACCTACAGGAGGCCTAGGAGCTGGCCAAGTGGAGGATGAGAGGGCGGTGTTCCAGGCTGAGCAGACAGCCAGAGGGAGGAGTACTTGGTCAGGCTGAGGGACTGCGCCAGCTGAAAGGTGGAGGCAAGGGAGCAGAGGCCAGCAGGGGCTGCCTGGAGCCTGGGGACTCTACCCCAACCCTAGCAGCGGGAAGAGAGGGGGCGGGGCCCTCACCTGCTCAAACTCGTCAGTGATGGTCTTGGGCTCCTCGTGCCTCTGGAACCACATCATGTACTTGGTGTGGAATCGCCATGACTGCTTCTTTAGGGCCTTGGCTGCCAGATACTGTGCCTTAGTGCCCTGGGGGAGGAACAGTGGAGAGGGGGATCAGGGGGCCCCCAAACTGGGTGGGGAGCCAGGGGAATGGGGCAGGACATCAGGGCTGAACCCCGGCCCCCGCCACAGACCACAGTTGGGCTGGACAATCCTCTTGGAGATGGGGCTGGGGGCACAGAACATACCAATGCTGATCAGGAGAAGGAAAATGAGACAGGAGGTGAAAATTGCTTTCAGAGAAGCTTTGAGAAGGAAGAAAAACTAATGTGTGATGAGAGCTGAGAGAGGAGGCAATTTAGAAAATTTCCCAAGTGGGGATGAGGGTGGAGGTCACTCATGACTCACTGGGGTTGGGAGGGGGCTGGACAGCTCCCCAGTGGTCTCCAGGGAGGCCTGAGAATGTGCCGATGAGCAGAGTGGGGTCGGCCTAGACTGGGGCTGCTGGAGCAGGGCTGGGGAGGGGCCGCGGGTGAGCCAGTGGGCAACTGGAAGCGGGGCTGAGGTGTGCCTCAGTGGACCAGCCTCGCTGTCAACCCAAGCAGTTCTAACATCTCTGGGCTGGAAGGCGGGGACGGGGACAGGTGGATTTGGGGCAGGGGCCCAGGAGTGGGAATAGGGAGGGGGTGCGGTCCCAGTGGCCGCAGTGGGGCACCCACCTCACCCCTCCAGCCCGAGGGGGGACGGCGGCGGTGGCGGCGAAGCCGGGGGGCCCGAGGCTGCCCCGGGGGCCCTGCTGTACCTCCAGATAGTAGAAGATGAAGAAGAGTGTCTCGGTCGACAGGCGCTGGTAGAATTCCACAGTGTCCGAGTGTGGGGGTGGCATCTGGTGGTGGTAGGGGGGCGTCGGACAGGGGTTCCGGGGGAGGTACTGCCTGTGAGAGCAACAGGAAGGTCAGTGCCAGCTGCCTACTAGTCCTGTCGTGATCAAAAGGGTGCTCAGACATGCATCCCTGCGGGGGGAGGTGGTACAGAAAGACCCAGGGCGGTGCTGACCTTCAGTGGAGAGCCCAAGTCAGGGGCCTGGTGCTCTACCCACAGCCTCACAGGTTCAGCCACTGCCTCCTCCGTAAGACTCAAGTCCCAGACCATCCCCCTTCCCTGTGGCCCCTCACCGAATACGCTCAGAGTCAGAGGGGTGAGGCATGTGGTGCCAGGCGGCCTCTTCCATGGCCTGCTGATAGAGCTGCTCCTTGGTGAGGGGCACAGGGCCCAGTGGACAGACACCCAGCGACAGCGGTATGTTCACCTCTGACAGCTGCAGGGGCGGCTGGGCTGAGGCCGGAGGTGCTGATGTACTGCTCAGGATGATGTCTGTGGGGAGGGTGGGGGTCCGGCCCCCTCAGTGGTGAGGATGGGTCAGGGGCAGCCCCTCCTCTTTGGCCCGCTGCTTCCCCACCATCCTGGGTCCCTCACCTCGCTCGGTCAGGTGCAGCGTTGGCACAGGGTCCTCAATGCCAGAGCTGATGGCTGCCCGTTCCGCCATGGACTTCAAGGAGCTCAGAGGCTCAGGGGCCTGGGGAGGAAACAAGAGGCCTGGCCTGAGCACTTGGGC
This sequence comes from Homo sapiens, assembly GCF_000001405.40. Classification (NCBI taxonomy): domain Eukaryota; kingdom Metazoa; phylum Chordata; class Mammalia; order Primates; family Hominidae; genus Homo; species Homo sapiens. The sequence continues at coordinate 127,036 of NW_003571059.2, read as the reverse complement.
TGCAGGAGCAAGTGCAGCCTGACACAGGCCCCAGATGCTCTCACCTGCCCTGTTTGGGGGCCGTGGAGGGCCAACGACCCACTCCCCACAATCTACCCATGACAGGTAAAAGCATCAAACTGTAGGGAAACAATCGGAGACCACGACGCATTCATCAGCAGAGGAACGTCTCGTGAGTGGGACTCTGCAGCATGGAATACTACGCCGAGATTTTCAAAATACAAGTTCGTGACATACTACAGAAGTAAACGCCAACCTGCAGAATATGTACAGTGCGCTACCATTTTTGTCAAAGGATGTGCCAATAGTACACGCTCCTTCACTAGGGACACCTACACGCTGGGAGAGCTCCCGCCTGTCTTGAAGGAGGCAGGAGGTCTACATGCTCAGCTGTCTGCCTGTGACTGGCATGGGGTGACTGGAATCGGGGTGGGCCCAGCCCGGCTAGGCTTCAGTCTCCTTGCTGGAAACAGGTAGGTTGGGTCTCCAGCCCCGCAGCCACAGCCTCGTTTCCTATTACAAAGGTTACAGCAGGCTTCTGTTCCCCAAAGTCAGGGCTGGTTCCTCCCATCTCCTCCAGCCACGTGCAGCTGTCCCAAACCCCAGCCCTGTGCTGGACTCTCCACAACGAGTCAGTCGCCAAGGCTTATCCATTCTGTCTCGCTATATCGCCCAGGCAGGTCTCAAACTCCTGGGCTCAAGCTATCCTCCCGCCTCTGCCTCCCTAAGAGCTGGGATTACAGGTGTGAGCCACCACGCCCAGCTATCCGTCCTGCTTCTAAACCCCACTGGATGGCTCCCTTCCCTGTCGTGCCACCATGTCCCACACAGCCCAGGCCTGTCCTCTCCTGCCCAGACCACCCTCCCTCTATCCTGTCCTCACCAGCCCCAGGGGACCTTTCCAATGAAGTCATGTTGTTCCTTCTCTACTCCAAACCTTGCCATGGTTCCCGACCACCCACCCCAGCGATTCATTTTTGTTGTTGGTGGTGTTAAAAGATATGGACCCCTTCTGAAAATCTCAAAGCTGCTGTTTCCCTTTTTCCAGAAAAATGCACGCACTATAAATATCCTGTCCACCTACTTCTAAAATTTGGGCCGGGCACGGTGGCTCACACCTGTAATCCCAGCACTTTGGGAGGTCGAGGTGGGTGGATCACCTGAGGTTCGGAGTTCAAGACCTGCCTGACCAACATGGCAAAACCCCATCTCTATTAAAAATATAAAAATTAGCCTGGCGTGGTGGCAGGCGCCTGTAATCCCAGCTACTCAGTAGGCTGCGGCAGGAGAATCGCTTGAACCCAGGAGGCGGATGTTGCATTCAGCTGAGATTGCACCACTGCACTCCAGCCTGGGTGACAGAGCAAGACTCTGTCTCAAAAAAGAAAAAAAAAAAAAATTAATGCTTCTGTTGGGCCAGAAACTGTTCCAAGAGCTTTATGAGGATGATTTAGTCTTCCAAATAACCCTACATAGTAGGTATAATCGTGACTATTGCCGTTTCCCAGATGAAGGCACAGAAAGGACAATGCCAAGACTTGGACCTGGACAGCCTGGGCGCGCACACTGCCTCCTGGACAGCCTGGGCGCGCACACTGCCTCCTGGACAGCCTGGGCATACACACTGGTCCCCCCATGGAAGCTGCGCTACAGTATACTGGCTCACAAGCCAAGCCCCAGCTCCTGACCCTCGATGATCAGGACCCCACCGTCCTATCCTGCTACACCCACTATCTCAGCCCTGCAGCTGGTGGCACTGTCTCCTGCAGAGTGGACACCTCTCTCCTCTCTGCTGCATCCTGCCCAGCTTCCTAAGCACACAGGCAGATGCATGCTCCTCCTAAAGCACCTCCTGAAGCCCTTCCTGCAGCTGTTAGCCCCCCTGCCTGGTCCAGGTCTCAGCTTAAACATCACCCCCTCTCAGACCTTCCTGGGCCTGTCTCCCAGGTCAGGTCAGATGCCCCTCGGTGGGCCCACCGCAACCTTCCCTGCAGCTGCCCCAGCAGGGAAGCTTCCTAAAGGGTGGAACCAGGCTGCATTCACCCAACCAGTCTTTCTACTTGTGCAGAAAGTACACCAGTCTATGCCTTGTGAGGACAAACGGGGACAGAAACTGAGGGCCTGCGGGGGGGATGAAGATGGAGACCCAGAGAGAGCAAGCAACAAGTGCAACCAAGAGAAAGGAAAAGAGACCCAGAGAAACAGAGCTTTGGAGGGAACAAGAGAGGAGGTATGAGAGCCCCCAGAGATCAAGGTCACGGGGAGGGTGGTACAGAAAGACCTGGAGAAAGAGCAAGTGTGAGAAGGGGACAGAAAGCCAGAGAAAGAGATCCAGAAAGAGGGTGGGGGCAGGGGGTGCAGCTAGAGACCTGGAGGAAAGAAACAACAGAGTCAGGACACAGAGGCTCGGGGGATGTCCGAGGAGCCCACCTTGATTTCTGGGGCGGTGCTGAACTGTGGAGGCCCATTGAGCAGGGCACCGGCTGCCTTGGCATCACTGAAGCTGGGCGTTGGGGAGCTGGGAGGATTCACAGGCAGTGGCACCAGGAGGCTGGGTCCCCCTGAGTTGTTCCCTGAGCCTGGGGCCACGCCCCCAGCCCCCGTTGGGGCTGCCGCACTGGGTTCCTTCCTGGAGAGAGAGCATGGAAGAGGGGGTTGAGAGGAGGGTCCCTGAGGGTGGGATGGGCAGAGAGGCCTGGCTGGAGAGAGGGGAGACTGCACAGATCAGATGGGATCTGAGAGGGGCAGGTGAGGGCAGACAGATGGGAGAAAGAAGTGGTTCTCTGGGCAAACAAAGGCAGAGCCCAATCTTTGGAATGGTTTCTCATCAGCAGAGCAGAGCTGTGGGGGTGGGGGTGAGGATTCTCGGGTGCTCCACCAGGCCACAGGCTGATCAAAACCACTTGCCCTGGGCAGGTGTTCACAGGGCCCACTCCCCCTTGGGCAGGCCAGCTGGAGCTGGGGTGAGGGGGCAGGAAGCAGGCCTTTCCTTTGTGCACACTGATCTTTCTTAGGGCATTCTTCGGGAAACAGGCAGACCCAGTGGAATGGTCTGAGCTAAGATTTGAAGGAGTGGCTGCAGAGGAATAAGGACTTCGGGACAATTCACTTTGAAAAGTGAAACAGTGACCCTCCGGTGGCAGTCAATTGGCCTCAGGCAGGTAACAGAAATGGGGAGGAAAGGGTATGGGGCTCTTGAGAAAACTTCCACTTAGATGAGAACGTATTTTAGAATGTTCTGAAGGGCAAAGCAGGGAGGCTGATGTAGTTTCCTTGCTGGAAAGAAGTGGGGGTGTAACACCCGAGGGAGATGGAGGATAGCGCTTGGCCATTCCCAGCAGCAAGGGCGGGGGGTTCAGAACCCACCGATGCGGGGGTGAGGCGCCTGCGCCTCTCTGTTTCAAAAGGCTGCCATCCCAACCCTGCCGATGGCCGAGACACTCACGAGGTGCTGGGAGGTGGGTTGTGGGGGCCGGAAGGGGGGCCCAAGGCCTGGCTGCTGGCATTGTTGCCCCCACTGCTGCTCAAAGCCACCTCTGCCGGGCTGTCTGCCACAACTGAGCTGTAACCTGGGAACAAAGAGTAAATGGAAAGGGCTGCTGCCTGCTGCCCAGCCCCGCCCACGCCCCCCACCCCGCTGCCTCCTCACTCACTGGTGGCGCCATTCTGCTTGCCAGCCCCTCCACCGGCACTGCTGTTACTACTGCTGCTGCTCCCTCCACCTCCGCTGCCGCCGCCTCCGCCTCCGCTAGGCTGGACGCTGGGGGGCCGGGGCTGGGTCGTGCTGGGCCCACTGGGAGCTGGTGGGGCCACAGCCTGGGCATAGGGAGCAGGGGTGCCCGAGTTGTGGCTGGGAGCTGGACTGGCCTTGGGGCCCAGGGCACTTGGGGGTGCTGCGGGGGCGGGGACCCCATTGTTGCCAGGAGTGGTGCTCAAGGCAGAGGCAGCAGGCGGGGGGCCGGAGGGGTAGGTGGGCGGCACAGCTGGGGACTGAGGGTGCTGGTTGCTGTGGACAGGCTTGGAGCCGTTTTTGGCTGGAGACTGCGGGTGGGAGAGAGCAGAGGGTCAGGACCCAGTGGGCCAGCTGGTCTCCCTCACCACCCCCACCTCAGGCTCCATCTTTGTCCCAGCAGCCTCCTCTCTGGCCTCGCTGCCCCCACCTGCTCCTGCCCTCTTGGGGACCTGGGTGACCTTACTCACCCTCATGGCTTCAATCACCTTCATGCTTAAAACACTCACACTGATTTCCAGCCTGCCCAGCTTCCCAAGTCCTGCCTGGACACCGCCCCATGGACACCCCCACAGGGATCTGACACACAACTTAGGTTGTCAGCCAGAGAAGATCCATCTGTTGGAAGCCAGAGGACTAGTGGGAAACACTTAAGTGTTCTCAATATGAGATTAGCTGGAGCCGCCTAATGTCCAAGAGTAGAAGGAAAAACAGCTGGAAATTGGATAGTAATTCTGAATGTCACCTGAAGGGTCACAGAAGCTACTCACAGGGCTGGAAGTTACCAGCACTCCAGAAAGTGGTGGGAGGGTAAATGTGCTCATGGTATCCCTACCGCAGGCAATCTGTGGACAGCACTCCGGCTGCTGAGCCTAACCACCTCCTGGGCTTCTTTCCAGCCACCCCACAGGCACCTTGCGCTTACCAAGCGCCCAACAGGACTGACTACCCACTTCTCTCCTGGGCATCGCTGCTTGGCAGTGGGGGCCTGGGAAGGTGGCAGAGCCCAGCCTGGCCCCTGGAGTACCTGCCTCAGTGTCTCTCCTCATCACCTCCTGGCCCTGTTGCCCGCCCTCACTACTACCTGCGGGTCCCCTTAGTCTCCACACCAGCCTCCTCAATGCCCACTCAGGGTGTCCCCTTGGAACCATCCATCCCGTTAGCCCACAGAGGGGCCTCAGGCCCATGCTGCTCCTGCCTAACATTGTTCTGTAGCAGCGTTTCCGAAAGCGTGCTCCTGTCCTGGGAGATGTTAAAGGAGTTGAAGAAGCACTGCCCGCCACCGTCTCCTCTCAGAAATTTGCAGTGTGTATTATCAGCACAGCAAAGGCCCCATCGCTTCCTAGGCTTATTGGACTCTGGAGGCCACTCAGGTCCACAAAGCCTGAGCCCCTCAGCCTGACAGTCCCAGTCCCTGTGCTCACAGTTGGGCCCTGGCCCTGCAGACCTGGCCAGACTCATCTCTCCTCACTTCCAAACTTTCTGTCACAACTTGCCCATGTTACTGGCTGCCACCTCTCCCTGCCAGGCAAACTCACCTGACTGTGAAGCCCAGGGCACTCCACAGCAGCATCTCCTGACTGCCTGGCCAGGCCAAGGGTGACCTGTGTGCTACCCCCTTGACCACAGCACCAGTCACCTGTCCACTTGCCCTGCCCACCTGCCCTCAGGGCAGCACTGATTTCTGAGCCACCTGTGTCCACCAGCCCAGCACAGTGGCCGGCGCTCAGGCCTCAAGATGCCTTTGGGAAGCAACAGAGGAGTGAATGGCGTGCCCACCCGGTCCAGGCTCACACCCACCTGGCTGACTTCACTGTCTGTGGAACGTCCCCTCTTCTTATCATCTTCAGAGTTTTCCTGAGGTAGGGGAGGCAGAATAGAAACCTGTGTGACCTCTGGGGCTCTGATGGAGAACCGCCAATCTCTGAATGCCCCGGGGACCTGGGCCCAATTGACTGCCATTGCGGCCCCAGAGCTGGTCAAATGGCTGTCCTTAATCTGCCTGGAGAAACCATCTCAATTCAGGCTCTCCAGTCTTCTTGTTTTCTGGGAGCCAGCACTGACCCACCAGCCTCTTAAGGATCTGGGAACCTGCTCTCCACAGGGAAGCCAACCCTTGGATCCCTGCCCAAGGTGGCCAGCTACCCAGCCTCCTCAGGCAGCCCAGGCACCGGCCCCTCCCACTTCCCAGATCCAGGACCTAAACTGGCGCGGGATGCACCCTATTGCTCTTTATGTCCTTTAGGGACCCAGATATAGGACCTTAGCGTGTGCTCCAAGAGCCTAGACCCTGGATACCTAGATCTGTGTTTCCTCAATTACGCTCCCATAGCCACTTTGGAGTGACCCAGATTTGTCTCCTCGAGTCCTGCCCTGCTGGAAACACAAGGTACTAGTGTCCCGTGGGGCCTCACCGTGGTACAGTTGGCTGGGCTGGGCGGGATGGGAGAGCTGGAGGTGGTTGAGGTGGGCGTGCTGCTGGACTGGTTGAAGATCTCATCCTCCATGTGGCTGTGGCTGGGAGGGGAGGTGGCGACCAGCGCCTGTGCTGTGGGGGCAGAAGAAGGGCATGCTTAGCTGGCTCACACAGCCCATTCTGGGCCCTCACTTCCTGTGCCACGATCAGCCCCAGGGCCTCACGAATGTCCTCGAGGTCCAGGTCATCGTAGAGAAACTCGTTCTCCTCGAAGTCGGGGTCCTGGGATGAGTCAACATAGTACTCAACGTCGTCCTTGATCTTGCGGATGGCGTCAACGAGGATGGAGTCATTGTCCAGCATGCGCAGGATGGTCTCTAGCATGCGCACGTGGTAGCGGTGCTTCTCGATGTGCCGCTTCAAGCCCTCAATCCGGTCCTGCTTCTGCTGGCGAGCCCAGGGCCAGGCTCAGGGGCTGCAGAGCACCTGCTTGGCCCCTCCTGCCCCCACAGAACCTGTCCTCAGTCCCTGACCCCTGTGGAGACCCAAAGCCTCCACGCCATCCCCTTCGGGGTGGGGCAGTATGGGGTCCACCCACCCTCTGAGCCCTGTGGGGACCAATCTTAGCCTTGACATCTTGGGATCCCACTGCTCCCTCCTCTCCCCACACCTTTCTGGCTCCAGGAGTCCTTGGAAACCTCTAAAAGACCCAGAGGTCCTTGTGCCATCCCACGACTTGGCCTCCATCTGCACCTCACCTGACAGCCCAGATTTCTCAACTGAGCCCGCCCACCACTGTGACTGCCTCTGGCATACAGATACCCTCCGACCTGCTCCAGCAGTAACAATGATAACCCCCATTTGTGAGGAGCTTGCTGTTTAGAATTGTGATATCTGTCATCACTAGGCCCCCAACCCTACCCATTTATCCCTGAGAGAGCCCAGATTCCTAAGCCTCGCTCCTGCCCTCCCCTCAAGGCCCCTTTAGGATTTAACATCTTAGCCTTGGTTCCAAATCTCTGCTCTGTTCAAGGACCCATCATCTCCCCGAAAGCCCCTGGTTCCCAAACCCCTCAGAGTCTGACACCCAACCCTGTCATCTTCCACTTCCTGACCCTCTCCCACCCACAGCTTCCCTGAGGACCCGGCTCTCCCCTCCCTGTCTTTCTGGTTTCAGCAAGTCTGTACAGTTTGTATCCCTTTGAACTCATACCCCACAATCCCGGATTTTAGAACCTGGGACCCCAACATCCAGCTTTGTCCCAGACTCCTGTCTTCCTTCAGGCCTGGTTCTCTGCCTTCTCCATGTTCTGCCTTGTCTCTACCCACTGTGCTCTCCCTAGGACCAGGGCCCTCTGGGTGCCAGGAGGCCTCTTGCCATGGGTGTCCTTCAGGTCTCACTTTTACTCTGTGGCCCAAGCTCAACCTGCACTCACCTTCCCCCAAGTCGCTCCTCTTCACAAAGGCCCCACGGTCTACCCAGACACCCAGGGGACCCTGAGATTCTGTCTGACCTCCTTCCTGCCCCACGCGTGCAGCTGCTAAGCCCTCCCAATCCTGTCTCTCAAATCCCTAATCCCGGCTGTTGGCCCTGTCCGCCTGAGGAATCCAGGCCCCAACTCCCAGGAGCATAAATGACTGGCCTCCTGCTGGCCAGCCCATTCCCATGCCCATCCCCATCCCAAAGGTGTCGGGTCTCCCTCACTCACATCCTTGTCGCCCTTCTTCTTGCGTGTCTGCACTGACAGTGACTCCACTTCACTCTCAAACTGGTCCACCTGCATGTTGAGCGTGTCGATGGTATTCTAGGGGAGGGAGAGGAAGAGGAAGCCCATCAGCTAGGGTTCCGCCTACACCCAGGGCTCAGGATCCTCAGAGTTCACCTCCTCTTCTCTACCCCAACTCACCGTGAGCCACTGGCCAACCTCTTCCTTCTCCTTCTGGGCAGGATCTACCTTCTGGGCCAGGCCCAGGCCCTCTTTGCTGTAAGCTTTGGTTTTGGTCTCTCGTTCCACAACTTTGAACCGTTCCATTTGCTGTAGAGAGTGCAGTTGGCAGGGGGGCTCTCAAAGGTGGGAAAGGAGCTGACTAAGGGCCAGCAGACACTCCGACCTGAGCCTCGTGACCCTACTTTCTGAGCTCTGAGTCCGCTGCCTCTTCACTTCCCTTAGGTGCAGAAACCTTACTTCTCTTGAGGACCTCTGGGGTCTGGCCGCTCTGCCTCCGCCCCTTGGGATCTCAAGAATCTGGTGACCTTCCCACCTCTCTGGGACTCAGGCTCTGGGCTCCTACCGTCTCAATGAGCTTGCGGTTGTCTATAAGCTGCCTCTTGTCCTTGATCTCGTTGGACGCTACCCATGTCTTGATTTGGTCCCTCAGCCGCTGCAGATGGGAAAAGCAAGAAAGTCAGACCTCAGGACCCAGGAACTGGGGCCCACAGCTCCTTCTCCCTGGGACCCAGCAGTCCACTCTCCCAGTTCCCTCTACCCTCAGGACAAAGGCGTCCAGGCCCCCAGCCCCCTCACTTGTAGCTTCTTAATCTCCTTCTTTAGGTCAGCCTCATACTTTTCTTTCTGGTTCGCGTTGGCTGCATTGTGGAGCTGAGGGATGGAGAGAATTGAGAAGTCAGTGTGGGAGGGGATGTCCCAGTACCCACTCCAGTGATTCTTCCTTATGCTAGGGACTCGAGGACCCCCCCCAACCCCTACCCCCAATCCATCTTAGAGCTGATTCTCTTAGGTCCTCAGCATCTGCATATGTAGCCCCTCCCGCTGGTCAACACCCAGAGGTCCTGAGCCGCCTTCCTGTGCCCTCCTCTCTGAAGACCCAGATTATTAGGGTCTCAGCCCCTGTACCTTCTGCCAAATATCTTCAAACTGCTCCACGCCCTCGGACACCTTCTTGAGGCAGCGATCAATCTCACCTGGCCAGGGAGGAACAAGGCTGTGAGAATCCTGCCCAGGTGGCAGGTATCTAAAGAGCAGTCCTCAGAAGAGGGAGCATGTGGCTACAGGTGCAGCAGGAAGTCAGTCTAGTACCTTGGAGTTTGCGCTTGTCCGCCATCTTCCCTGCCCTACAGACGCACTCTCTTCATACTCTCTTGGAGACGGACGCTGCTAGGAGAGATTGGAGAGGAATTAACACGTATTCCCTGGCTGGTAAAAACCCAGAGACATGGACCTAGTCAGCATAGTGAGGTAGGTGGGACTGGTAAAGAGAAGAAGCATTTGCTATCTGACAAGAGACCAGCCCCAGTTCTCCTGATGCTCGCTTGACTGCCCAGCATAGTGTCTGGCCAACAGGGGACCCCATAAGTTTGTTGAAACAAGAAAAGTTACATACTTTTTTGTGTGCCTCTGACTCAGGAAGTGGAAAATTCCTAGAGCATGGAGTACCTTCTCCCCAGAATACACTCAAAAAGGTTTTTCAGAGCAGGACAGTCATGCTGCACACAGCTGATGACTGGGATGGAGGCATTAGCCCTGGAAATCACACTTCCTACTCAGAGGGGCTGGGCAGAGGTGGCTAGGAGAGGTCATCCCTCAGACAAGTCAGGAGACAAATGAAACTGGCAGCTCACAGAGAAGGGCGTGTGTGTGTGTGTGTGTGTGTGTGTGTGTGTGTGTGTAAGCTGTAGGTAGGAGAAGAAAGATTGGGGGTGGGGGAAAACGACGGCGAGCAGAGATGCCGAAAGCTGTGAAGAGCTGAACCCGCTCATGCAGACAGGGCTGAATGCCAAGTAGAAGGGACTCAAACCACCAAGACATTTATTCCAGAGCAGGATCCTTAAACCAAAAGGAAATAACACTCCTAACCCAAAGAAGCTAATACCAAGAAGGCTTAGAGATTTGGGGGCAGAAGGCAGTACCCAAGAGAGACCTGGGAGAAGACAGAAATCTTACTAAGATAAGAGGGTGCAAAGGTACCGCAGCTGTGAGGGAGCCGATCTGCACTCATGGAGGAATCCCATAGCAAGTGGATTGGTAATTTAGAGTCAGGGAGACATAGACCATCAGGGCAGGAACCCAAAACTTCAAGAGAGGAGCGTCTTTATTTTAAAGGAAGTTACCTGGAACCCAGAGAAGACTGAGGTCAAAAGGGAGTTCCAAGGAGCTTTAGTCCAAGGGAAGACATACCTTAGGGCCTGACAGCGAGACCAGGGGAGCCCTGGGAAGAGAGGCTTATGCCTCAGAAGAAGACTTCTGAGATACCAGCGGAGATTGCCCTCTTCCCCTCCAGGGAGGGGGCCTACAATGAAAAGCACAGTTCCCTGGGATCCACGGGCCGCTCCCACTCTACGTGTGCAGGGCAGGGAACCCTGGAGTAGTCACTTACTGTAAAGACAGAAACAGCCCCATACTGAGGAACAAGAGCCTCAATACAGAGGGAAGTCACACCAAAAGAGTCCTCACCCACAAAGAAGGGAACATCTGGCAAACAGTGCTATCCAACAGAACTTTGCAATGCTGGAAACACTCTATTTGCGCATATCTGTTGGCCACTGAACATCTGAAATGTGGCAAGTGTAATGGAGGAACTGAATTTTTCATTTTTAACTAGTTACTAATCACCACATGTGACTAGCAGCAACCATATGGGACGGATATGCTTTAGAACAAGAAGCCCATAAAGGACAGGGCTGGTACCTTACCCCCAGGGAGAATTTTCCCAACACCGCAGGGACCCATTCTGGGTGATAATAGGTAGGGGTGCTACCTTACACTTGAGGGAATTTAAATCTCCTCAGTAAAAGGCCCAACCTAAAGAAAGCCGCAGCAGCCCCCGCCCAGGTCAGCTATCACGCCCTACCTGGGGAATCTCTAAGAAGGCAAAGCAACCAACAAAAGGACCCAGGAGAAGGTGCCACAGTGGGGATTCAGGCTGAGGAGGGGAAAGCCCCTTTGACCCAGGGAGCTCACACAAGGCAAGGGCCTGGACACCAGAGCTCAGGTGTGCAGGGATCCTCACCAAAGTCCAACACCCCAACACAGAAAAGCCTCTTACTGCATAGGGGGAACAAGAATGTGAAACGAGAGTTTACACTCCCTCTTTCCATCCCAAGAACCCAACAGAGGGTCATGGGCAGGTGCTCCAGCCCAGAGAGAGAAGAGGTCTCATGGTCTACACCCCTAAACAAGGCAATCAACACCTTAGGCAGGTGACGCCCTCCCTGTGTCTCCACACGGAAAGGACTGGTATCCTAGTGCAGAGGAAGAATACCCACAGAGAGGAGACCACACTGTGGCAGCAAGAGAAGGAAGTCCTGGAGGGGTCACAAGCCAGAAGGAGGGGAACAAGAGCGCTAACCCAGGGAGGTGATGTTTCAGACAGAACAGTGTGACATCGAAGTCGGCTACAGCTGAGACCCAGTGAGGAGGCAGCTCCTCCACAGAGAAGGGGCAAGTGCCAGAGGCCCAGGGTACTTGTCCCCTAGAGAGGCTGGAGCCTTAGCCACAGTAGAGACAACACCTTCCCCGCTAAGAAAATCCTTATATCATGAGGGTATCTGTACCTCTGGTCCCCCCAGCAAAGGACCAGAGAGAAGGGAAGCTGGAGCCTGAGTCTCGAAGCAGAGACGCCGCCAGAGAAGAAAGAGCCCCATTTGCTGTAGTCAGGGGGGCATCCACCAAGATCCTCCAAGGAAGGTGGTGATCGCAGGTCCACTCTCAGGCGTGAAGAACCTGTGCTCCAGCAGCAAAGGCTCTCCAAGAGCACTGAGGAATCTGGGAACCTCGGCCCAGGAGGAGACTTACCCAAGAGGAACACACATCCCCACAGGGAAGGGACCCACAAGGCGGGTGGCGGGGCGGGGGGAGGTGAGCAGGACACCAGCCTCACAGGAGCCAACACGCTAAAATCAGAGCCAAAACCAGTAAAGAAGAGCCCCCCAGACTTCATCTCAGGGAAGATGATACCACCACACAAAGACTCGAGGAGGGAGGGGCAGGAGGTCAGCCCTGGGAAACTAACACCGGGTGGTCCTTAACCTTGGGGGCCGTCATGTGCCCACAGAGTGGTCTTTGTCATGAGGCACCTTTGATCTGGGAGAGCTTCCGCCTCTGCAGCAAGGAGCTCTGAGAAGTGATGTTGAAGGGTGATCCTTAACCCAGGTGGCTGCTGACGTGGCCACACAGAGGCTCTGAGACTCCAGAAGAAGGATGCGTTAGGGCCTGGGGTAGAGGTAGTCATCTCCACTGAGATGCCCCATGCCAAGGGTGGGGGGCTGGAATCTCCCACCTTGGAAAGTCTACACCAGAGAAGTCTCTGGTCCCAGGGACAGGGTCTACAGTGGAGTCTCCCGCTTGAGACTCAGGTATCTTACATCCACACAGCCAGGAAACTATGCCTTACCCCATACAGTGACAAATCAAGAGGGGGTTTTGGAAGCATGAGCCGGGGGCACCTGCATCCGAGAGGGGTCCTCAGCCTTACGGTGGGGACACATGCAGAGGCGTGGACACCTCAAATCCAGAAAAGCAGCCATACCAATACCAAGGATGGCAAGAACCTTATCCCTGGGGGAGGTGACACCAAGAAAGGGTCCTTACCCTGGAGAGAAGGCACAGCCCCAGAGGGAAGAGCCCCCACCTCGCAGTACAGGAACCCGGGTCTAGGAAGCTTCCTACTCTCATGGGGTACCAGCAGCGGGGCCAGAAGGCGAAACCCTTGTTCTCCAACTGCTGACACCCAGCGTAAGGGTAGATGGGAAGTCAACAAACCCACAGTGTGGGATCTGATGCAAATATCAAGGGCAGTGGGCTTCTTGGTCCTTGGAGAGCTGACACCCTAAAGGAGGAGACTGGTGTGAAGATGGAAGAAGCCTCATACTCAGGCAGGGGTGAAGGGAGGGAGGGGAGACATCAAAACCCCTCACCAAAAGGACAGGAGAGCTCACCCCGGGGTGGGTGGCCGCCCTGCACTGAGAGGCAGGGACTGCTCAGAAAGAGGGGCTGGTGCTGCCCGCAGTGGGAGCTCACTAACATGGACAGCGTGGCGGCTTAGTGTCTTTCACCAGGCACCTGAGCGCCAGGGGATCCCAGCAGCCCCCAGCAACAAGACCACAGTGGTCCTGATATCACTGGGAGACGCCCACACCCAGAAGGTCGGAGAGTCACGATGCAGGGGAGTTCAAGGCTGCAAAGCCAGGGGCAGACGCCAGGATCAAAGAAGTGTGAGAGCTGAGACCAGACGTGGGCCACACTGAGGACGGTCCTGTACCCCAGGTGGGGGAAAGCCAAACTCCCCCAAAAAGGCAGGCGCCCAGTGCAGCGGGATGGCGAGGCTGGAGCCACCCAGGGCGCTACTCGCTATGAGAGGGAAGAGCTGCAGACTACAGAGGTGGAAACTTCGGCAAAGGCTCCAACTAACGGGGAGTTTCTCCTCCACTCCTCTCCCAAGAGGCTCCCATCCGATACAGACGGGCAGCTGGAACCTGAGATCCAGGGGAGGCTGCGCTCCCGGGAGCAGTGAGGAGGGATGCGGAGGGCGGCCTCGGTCCTGGGAAGGGTGACTCCCCCACCCAGCTGGGGTCCTCGTCCCGACCACCACCCCCCCTCCCCGCCACCGTCGAGGGAGAAGCCCCGGCGCGGAGGCTGCCCCACAACGCGAAGGACCGAGGCCGAGGGGGGCAGGCACCTGAGCCCCGAGAGGGCGGGCACCTGGGACCAGGGGCGCCTCCATCCTTCCAGCCAGGAGCCAATACCGACGCGGAGAGGGGCGGGCACCTCGCGCCCGGGAGGCTTCGCACCCTCACACCCCTACCGGGGGGCCCGACGCGATGCCACGCGGGGAGGCGGCGGCGGGCGGGGCCCGGGGTCCGGGTCGCGGAAGGACCCCCGGGAGGCGCTGAGGAACGTGAAAGAGGCGCAGGAACGGGAGGGCGAGAGGGAGGGAGCCGCCCCCCGCCGGGAGCCCCGCGCTGCAGAGGCGGCGGCAGGGGGCAGGCGAGGGGAGGCCATGTCGCGACAGACGGCGGTGTCGCCAGGGCGGGAGGCGGCGGGGAGGGCGGCCGATGGCGCCGGGGGGAGGAAGGGAAGGGGTCCGGCCCAGTCGAGCCTGACGCTCTCACCACAGGAGCTGGCGCCGCCGCTGAGGAGCGTATCGCGACAGGCGGGGGAGGCGAGCGCCCGCCGCCTTTTTCTCGCGCCCCGGGCCCGGGCGCTATCGCGATAGCGGCGCGAAGCGGAAGTGGGGTTGGGGGAGTGGGCCCGGGGTTGTTCTGACGACGGGGGTCGGGGCTCAAGGGAGGCCGCGGCGTCTGCCGATGGCTCCGCGGAAGCTGACCGGGCCCGGTCCAAGATGGCGGCGGCGGAGGAGGCCTCCCCTCCTCTCTTCTCGTCTCTGGCGCCGACCCGCCCCCGAGTCCCGAATATAGGCCAGTCATTGCTCCTGCTGAACGTCGCTCCTGACCCTTGGAGGCTTTCTATTGGTTCCTGGCAGGGATGCGCCCTGCCCCCTTTCGCGGATTGGGTGATCGCTCCAAGGCGCGGCGTTCGATTGGCCTCCCGCGCAGGCTGCTAGGATTGGCTCAGGTTTTCCTCCCCGCTCCTCCTCCTCCTCCCGCCTCAGGGCACAACACGCCAGCGCGAGGACCCGAACGTCAATCAAGAGACCTGTGTCGTGCTGATTGGATGTATCCGCCCCCCTCTCTTAAAACAATTGGTCTGGGGGAGGAGCTACGACAGTCCAGGGGCGGGAAGTCGTCCGTCAAGTTTAGAGCTCTTTTTAATTGGTTGCGGGGGCATATTCTGCCTTGAAGTCATTGGTTGGTCCTGGAAGTGGGTGGGGAAAGCGGAGGAAGGCATGGAGTGTGGGCGTTAGGGGCCGCGTACCTAATGGGAGACAGACAGGTGCCTTTAAAGCGGGGGCCGAGCCGAAGTCATCTGCCAATCAAAACAGCCACAGGGCCAAGTGGGAGGAGCTGGGCAAGAAAGTCCACCCCTTTTTCTTCGTTGGCCCTAAAAGTTATCATTCATGCTAGTTTGACCAATAGCGTGGCGAGTGGGCGGTAGCTGCTCGTAGAGCGTGTGAAAGAGGGTGTATGTAGCTGGCAGAAGTGGGACTTGGTCGCAACCGTTGCGTCCCGGCCAGGTAAGCAGCTTCCCTCTCAGCTGCCTCGTCTTTCTCCAAGTGCCTCTATGTTGGCACATCTCTGAAATTCATTATTTGCTGAGTGAAAGAAGAAAGGGACCAGAGACACTGCTTTAAGTCTCTGGCACCGTGCATAGCAGAATTGGTTGGGAAGCGTGAGGCATGGAGTTTTTGTCCTGCCCCTGCCTGGTTAGGCGACCAGATGGTAGGACAGTCATTCTCCTCTGCGTCTCCGCTTCCTTAGTGTGTTGAGGACGCTGCAGAAGGTACAGAGGAGACGGGTGGCTCCCTAATGCCTGCTCGTTTCAGGTCTCAGCTCTGTTGTCTTCTTGGAGAGAAAACTTCCCTGACCTCCCTCCCGGGCGGAGCGCTCCTGCGCGCCTTGTTCGTTAGGATTTATTTTTGTACGTCTACCGTCATTTTCGTAATTATTCGGTTTCCCTGTCTGGATTTTGCATCTCCAGCACTTAGCACGCAGGAAGTAGTCAGTAACCATTTGTCAAAGGAATAGATGAATGAATGTGAGGAATGACTTGTGATTGAAAACTTACTAGACACTGAGACTTCCACGAACTGGGAGGCATTTGCCCAGGGTCACACAACCGAGATGGGAAGCCAGATTCGCCCCTTCCTGTCTAGGTGGTGGAAAGTAAGATAAATCCCAGGGAGAGGTGAACGTGAAGGAGGATGGAGCCGTTCAGCACCACCCGCATCAGAATGGTCTGAGGCAAGGGGGAGGAGGAATGCTTGCGAAAATGCATATTCGTAGGCCCACACACAGACAACGGGAATGAAGCCTAGAGTTATTGTTCTAGAGCTCTGCTATTCAAACTGTGGCCCCTGGACAAAGTATCGCTTCTCAGACATCTCCGGAATCACCTAGGAATGTGTTAAAATGCAAATTCTGCTTTTCTAACAAGTGCCGCAGTCCACGGTCCGCAGTTCACTTTGCACACCGCGGATCTAGCGATGACTTTCCAACTTGGCTGCACATCAGAGTCACCTGAGGAACTTGTTGTTATTGTTGTTGTTGTTGAGACGAAGACTTGCTCTTGTCCCCCAGGCTGGAGAGCAGTGGCACAATCTAGGCTCACTGCAGCCTCTGCCTCCCGGGGTTCAAGTGATTCTCCCGCCTCAGCCTCCCGAGTAGCTGGGATTACAGGCGCCCGCCACCACGCCCGACTAATTTTTGTATTTTTAGTAGAGACGGGGTTTCACCATGTTGGCCAGGCTGGTGTCGAACTCCTGACCTCAGGTGATCCGCTCGCCTCAGTCTCCCAAAGTGCTGGGATTACAGGCGTGACGACTGCGCCTGGCCTACCTGAGGAACTTTAAAAAAAAAAAATTTTTTTTAAATTAGAGGCCAGGCCGGGCCGGGAGAATCACTTGAACCCGGGAGGCAGAGGCTGCAGTGAGCCTAGATTGCGCCATTGCACCTGTAATCCCAGCACTCTCAGAGGCCGAGGTGGGCGGATCACCTGAGGTAGGGAGTTCAAAACCAGCCTGGCCAACATGGTGAAACCCCGTCTCTACTAAAAATACAAAAATTAGCTGGGCATGGTGGCATGTGCCTGTAATCCCAGCTACTCGGGAGGCTGAGGCGGGAGAATCACTTGAACCTGGGAGGCAGAGGTTGCAGTGACCCGAGATTGCGCCATTGCACTCCAGCCTGGGTGACAGAGCAAGACGCCGTCTCAAAAAATAAAAATAAAAAATAAAAAAGTCCAGATACCCAGGCTTACACTGGACCAACTAAAACGATCTTGAGGTGGGAGCCAGTGTCTCTCTCACCCAGGCTGGAGTGCAGGGGCGCCATCTCGGCTCACTGCAACCTCTGCCTCCCAGGTTCAAGCCATTCTCCCACCTCAGCCTCCCAAGTAGCTGGGATTACAGGCGTGAGCCACCGCGCCCAGCGTAAGAGCCGCTTACAGAGTCTTCTTTTCTAGAGCAGTGCTTCTGAAATGTGGCCTTGGGTCAGGCACGTACCCATCACCTGGGAACTTGTTTGAAAGGCACATTTTTGAGCCCCACCCTAGACTGAATCAGAAACTCTGGGCCCAGCAACTATGTTTTAACAAGTCCTCAGTGTAATTCTGAAGCGCATTAAATTCTGAGAACCTCTGTTCTGAAAGTACGAGGGCTGCAGGCCCAGGCGACTCAAGATTCCTTTCCTGAGATTGACACCCTCATGCCACAGCCCCATTGGTAGATGCCGGATATTTTGGCCAAGGGAGATGGGGGATTCTGAACAGGGTTGTGGACCACGGGTCCTTCCCTGGCAGACCAGTATGTAGAGATCAGCAAAGGTTGTCATTTTCAAACAGGGTTGACCCAGAGGGTCAGGGATAACATTGAGAAAACAGACTTGAGTTATACAACCTGGGGTAGTTCAGCCACTCAAGGGAACCTCCTGAGTGTGTCGACTTTTTGACTTGAGGAAGGAGAGAGATTTAGAGATTGCCACTGAGGTCCAGAGACAGAGCTCTGGGTTGAAGGACAGGGATCCAGAGATACACAGAGTGGTGACGGGGAGGCCCAGAGAGGGGAACAGAAAGAGCAAAATCTCAGACAGGACCTAGAAAGTCAGAGGGAGACCCAGATAGCATGAGCTGGAGAGAGGGAGGGAGAGAGAGAGAGGGAAGGTGGAGAGAGGGAGGGAGAGAGGGAAGGTGGAGAGAGGGAGGGAGGGAGGGAGAGAGGGGAGGTGGAGAGAGGGAGGGAGAGGGGAGGAGAGAGGGAAGGTGGAGAGGGAGGGAGAGGGAAGGTGGAGGGAGGGAGAGGGAAGGTGGAGGGAGGGAGAGGGAAGGTGGAGAGAGGGAGGGAGGGAGGGAGAGAGGGAGGGGAGGTGGAGAGAGGGAGGGGAGGTGGAGGGAGGGAGAGGGGAGGAGAGAGAGGGAGAGAGAGGGAAGGTGGAGTGAGGGGAGGTGGAGAGAGGGGAGGTGGAGAGGGAGGGAGAGAGAGAGGGGAGGTGGAGAGAGGGAGGGACAGAGAGAGGGGAGGTGGAGAGAGGGAGGGAGAGAGAGGGGAGGTGGAGAGAGGGAGGGAGAGAGAGGGGAGGTGGAGAGAGGGAGGGACAGAGAGAGGGGAGGTGGAGAGAGGGAGGGACAGAGAGAGGGGAGGTGGAGAGAGGGAGGGACAGAGGGAGGGGAGGTGGAGACAGGGGAGGTGGAGAGAGGGAGGGAGAGAGGGGAGGTGGAGAGGGAGGAAGAGAGAGAGGGGAGGTGGAGAGGGAGGAAGAGAGAGAGGGGAGGTGGAGAGAGGGAGGGAGAGAGAGGGGAGGTGGAGAGAGGGAGGGACAGAGGGAGGGGAGGTGGAGAGAGGGAGGGACAGAGGGAGGGGAGGTGGAGACAGGGGAGGTGGAGAGAGGGAGGGAGAGAGAGAGGGGAGGTGGAGAGAGGGAGGGAGAGAGAGGGGAGGTGGAGAGAGGGAGGGAGAGAGAGGGGAGGTGGAGAGGGAGGAAGAGAGAGAGGGGAGGTGGAGAGAGGGAGGGAGAGAGAGGGGAGGTGGAGAGAAGGAGGGAGAGAGAGAGGAGGTAGAGACCTGGAGGCATCATCTTCCCACCAGGCTGCTGCTTGTCCTGGTAACATCTCTTAGGTAACTAACAGAAGCCCGACCTTGTAGGTCAGGTGACTAGCGCTGCCTCCTTAGTACCACCGTGTAGCCCAGCTCCGGAGCACATAGTAAATGGAACCCCTGGAGTTGCTCTTCCTTAACCTCTCCAGGGAGACGGTTTCATGCCACCCGCTAGGACAGCCCCTGCTGTCCCCTGGAAACTCTCCTGACTGTCTGCAGGCCACATTCCCCTCAGTCCAAGTAAAGGCGCTCCTGGCCGAGCCCCGGTTCCCGAGACTCAGTGACTGGAGGTCAGGGGAGGGGAAGTGTGCTCCTTCTGCTCACCTGGCAGGACTTTTATAGCAACCAGGTCCTACCAGGGCAGGAAGCCTGCCTGCTTCGCCTGTGCCCGGCTCCACACAGTCCCTCAACACTGGTTATAAATAAGAGGCTGGGCCAGGCACAGGGTAATCCCAGCACTTTGGGAGACGAGGCAGGCGGATTATTTGAGGTCAGGAGTTCGAGACCAGCCTGGCCAACATGGTAAAACCCCATCTCGGCCGGGCGCGGTGGGTCACACCTGTAATCCCAGCACTTTGGGAGGCCGAGGCGGGCAGATCACAAGGTCAGCAATTCAAGACCAGCCTGGCCCAAATGGTGAAACCCCGTCTCTGCTAAAAATACAAAATTAGCCAGGCGTGGTGGCGGGCGCCTGTAATCCCAGCTATTCGGGAGGCTGAGGCAGGAGAATCACTTCAACCTGGGAGGCGGAGTTTGCAGTGAGCCAAGACCATGTCATTGCACTCCAGCCTGGGTGACAGAGCAAGACTCCGTCTGAAAAACAAACAAACAAACAAACAAACAAACAAAACCCATGGGCGCCTGTAATCCCAGCTACTCAGGAGACTGAGGCAGGAGAATCACCTGGACCCGGGAGGTGGAGGTTGCCATGAGCCAGGATCATCCCACTGCACTCCAGCCTGGGCAACAGAGTGAGATTCTGTCTCAAAAAAAAAAATAATAATAATAATAAGAGGCCAGACACAGCGGCTCAAGCCTGTAATCTCAACACTTAGGGAGGCTGAGGTGGAAAGCTCACTTGAGCACAGGAGTTCAAGCCCAGCCTGGGTAATAGAGCACGACCCTGTCTATAAACAATTTAAAAATGGGGCTGGGGTGGTGGCTCACACCTGTAATCCTGGCACTTTGGGAGGCTGAGGTGGGCATATCATGAGGTCAGGAGTTCGAGAACAGCCTGACCAACATGGCGAAACCCTGTCTCTACTAAAAACTATAAAAATTAGCGGGACATGGTGGCACATGCCTGTAATCCCAGCTACTCAGGAGGCTGAGGCAGGAGAATTGCTTGAACCCGGGAGGTAGAGGTTGCAGTGAGCCAAGATTGCACCACTGTACTCTAGCCTGGGCAACAGAGCGAGACTCCACCTCAGAAAAAAAAAAAAAATTTAAATTAACCAGGAGGCCAGCTGTGCTGGTTCATGCCTGTAATCCCAGCCCAGGAGTTTGAGGCTTTAGTGAGCTTCATCGCATCACTGTACTCCAACCTGGGCAACAGAGACCCCGTCTCTAAAAAACCCAATCATAACAGGACCTGGTTATAGGGCGCTGATGGCAAGTCCCATGCTAAGTGCTTTCTGTGCATTCTTTCCAGTCCTGGGCACCTGGGCGTAGGTGTGGAGGCTTGGAAAGGTGAGGAGGCTGGCCTGAGGTGGACAGCAATCCCGGTCGGCCTGCGCTGAGATCTGCGGCTGTTGGCAGCCACATCATTTGCTATCAAAGTGACTGCGGCTCTCCAGGGGGTTGGAGAGGGCTTTTTCCTTCTGGGATCCCATGACGAGAAAGTAACGGGGAAGGGAGTGGGCCTAGACACCGCTTGGACCCGAGGGCCAAGCTCTTTTCTCAAAGCTCCACAGCTCTGATTCTTCTAGTTGCCCCGGCTGTTTGAAAAATGATCACTCCCCAAGGACAGATCTTGACAATGTCCTTTTAATTGTACTCTTTTCAAAAAATCTCCTTTCTCAGTTAAAAAAGACAAGGCATGATGAAGACCTGCTCTAGCCCATACTGGGCGGTGATCTCGGTCCTGGGGGAGGCCAGGCCGGACTCTTCCAAGGCCTCCTCCCTGGGCAGTCCCAGCAATGGGGCCAGTGGCAGGGCAGGTTCTCCCTGCCAGAACCCGATCCTAGCCCTTCAGAAGGACTGGACCTCTGTGTCCCTTCAGTGGGAAGCCACCTTGGACACACGCAGTCATTCAGGTGGACATAAGGCCACTCTTCTCGCCCTTGACCTTGAGGAACTCAGCCATGCTGGAGAAATACTTCTGGTTGGCCTCAGCCACCTTCTTCTCTGCCGCCTGTGGGTTCACAATCTCCAGGCCCTGGGCAGGTGAGGGAGAGAGGATGATGGGTTAGGTGAGGAGAAGGCCCCAACTGTGACCCATCAGAGCCCCCCAGGCCCTTCCCCATGGCACTCAGGCCTTGGTGGGCATGAGACAGTTTGCCTGTCCCTGGAGTTGCCCTGTCTTGGGAGATTCTGACTCAGTGGGTCTAGAGGGAGAGGGTGGGGAGGAACCAGGGCGCCTGGATTTGTACGAAGTTCCTCAGGGGTGCTAAAAACAACCAATGCTTGAGGACAGCCAATCCTGCCCAGTTTCTGCATAAGGAAACTGAGTCCCTGGGGGACATGGCTGGCCCGAGGTCCTAGCACAAATCACACCAACACCACTGACGATCATAGTGGCAGCAATGGGAGCCAACACCTGGCTGGCACTTCCTAAATATTTTCAAGGCAACAGAGCGAGCCCCCGTCTCTAAAAATAATAACAGGACCCAGTCATTGGGCTCTAATGGTGAGCCCAGTGCCAAGTGCTTCCTGTGCGTTCTTTTCAGTCCTGAGCACCTCATGATGGAGGAGGGGAGGCTTGGAAAGGCACAGCCACTGGCCTCATCTTCTCAAAGAGGCCCTCCCTGGCTGCTCCGAAACGAGAGCCTCCCCTGTCCCACCTCCTACCTTCCACCTCCTCCCCTCCCTGGCATTTCTGCCTTCTTTTTTTTTTTTTTGAGACAGAGTCTGGCTCTGTCGCCCAGGCTGAAGTGCAGTGGCGCGATCTCGGCTCACTGCAAGCTCCGCCTCCCGGGTTCACGCCATTCTCCTGCCTCAGCCTCCCAAGTAGCTGGGACTACAGGCGCCCGCCACCACGCCCGGCTAAGTTTTTGTATTTTTAGTAGAGACGGGGTTTCACCGTGTTAGCCAGGATGGTCTCGATCTCCTGACCTCATGATCCACCTGCCTCGGCCTCCCAAAGTGCTGGGATTACAGGCGTGAGCCACCGCGCCCGGCCTGGCATTTCTGCCTTCTACTACACTGGGCATCTTACTGAGCTGTCTGCGCCCAGCCTGGCATTTCTGCCTTCTCCTACACTGGACATCTTACTGAGCTGTCTGCGCCCGGCCTGGCATTTCTGCCTTCTCCTACACTGGACATCTTACTGAGCTGTCTGCGCCCGGCCTGGCATTTCTGCCTTCTCCTACACTGGACATCTTACTGAGCTGTCTGCGCCCGGCCTGGCATTTCTGCCTTCTCCTACACTGGACATCTTACTGAGCTGTCTGCGCCCAGCCTGGCATTTCTGCCTTCTCCTACACTGGACATCTTACTGAGCTGTCTGCGCCCGGCCTGGCATTTCTGCCTTCTCCTACACTGGACATCTTACTGAGCTGTCTGCGCCCGGCCACCCACTGGCTCCAAGAAGGTAAGACTTGTCTCTCATTCGTTGCTTCATCCCCAGAGCCGGGAACACTGACAGAACTCAGCAGGTGCTGCGTAGACACCCGCTGACTGGGCAGATGAGCTCGCTGCTGTCTCGCCTCCGTGGTGCAGGCTCGCCCTGCTCTGTGGATGGTAAACCGAGGCTCCGACGATGCGGTGACTGCCATGCTCCACGCTGCTCACTGCTGACTGGCTGGGGCCTGGACCCACACTTGACATCCAAGCCCGCCTAGCCGGGAACTTTCTCGAGTGGGGTCCTGAGGTTACCTTAACCGTCCTGGCCGTTTTGAACTGGAGGGCCTGGAGGCTGAGCAGTGTTACCCGCTCACAGCCCGACAGAGGAACTGGGTGCCCTGAACACAGCTGTGGGCCTGGTTCTAAAGCAGTGCGTGCTCACGAGGACTGCTCAGCGCTGGGCTCTCGTCTCTGCTAACCTCTTCCTGTGTGCCAGGAGCTGTCTACGTCCTCTGCATACCTCGTCACCACACCCTCCACAACAGCCCCATGAGGAGACTCATCCTGGCCTTCTTCACAGGGGCAGAGGGCAAGGGGCCTTGCCAAGGTCTCAGGGCTGGGGACAGAGCCGGCCCAGGGGAGGTACCTGGAGTGGGGTGAAGGCCACGCTGGAGGCCGTGCCCGAGGAGCGGTCGCGGATGGTGGACTTCCCGCCATATACGACGCTCTGCTTCTGCAGGGTCCGCTGTGGGGAGGACAGGGAGGCTGCGATCTGGGCTCCCCCCACCTTGTGTCCCTCGGTCCCCAGCCCCACCTGGGTCTGGCCCATACCTGCAGCGTCTTGGAGATCCTGGCCTTGGTGGCCTCGTTTACCTGTGTCTGCCGCACACGCCCACTGCCCGACTTGCCCAGGTGGCCCAGGCTGAATCCCAGGTCCTCCTGGTAGGCGTCCTCCTCGATCTAGGGGGAAGAGGAGGCGCCCTGCAGTTCAGCGACCAGGCCCTGCCCTCCAGCCACCGAGGCACCCCCTCCACCAGCCGGAAGCCCAGCGGTCACCAGCCGGCCGGTCCCACGGGCACCTGCTCCGGTACCCACTCGGCCCGGCTGAGGCCTGGGGGCCCACACACGCGGGGGATGCCGGGGAGCCTGAGAGGGGCCCGGTCCCAGCACTGCTCTGTGAGCTCAGAGTTGGGAGGCCATTCCTTCCTTACTCGTGTGGGTCGGGGGATGTCAGGAACCAGAACAGGTTTAATAGGATGAGGTGGCCTCTGAGTTCGGTCCTGCAGGACCAAGGGGATGACGCTGGGATAACAGAGGAGACTGGCGGGGCCCAGGGACGGGGCGGCCGTGCAGCAGGGCACTAAGGAGCCTCTGGGCAGGGAGGAACCGGCCAAGGAGCCCGGGGCGATGGGAAGCCGCGGGGGCTCTAAGCAGCGGAGACACAGGCTCCAAGGGCCGCGAGGGTCGCTTTGGGGCTGAATGGATGGAAACGAGAATAGAGGCCGGGGGGGAGGAGGCTGGGGCAGCGCCCTAGACATGAGCCAGGGCCACAGGACGAGAGGAGGGGCGGTGGCAGGAGGCAGAGGGCGGTGGCGGCTGGCTGGCTGTGGGGTTGAGGAGGGCGCTCTGGGAGTCTGACCTCTCCGAAGCTCATACGGTTGGCCTGCTTCCGGATCTCCGTCAGCCCCAGCCGCTCCTTCATCTTGCGGTACCTGGGGACGGGTGGGTGGGCGGCGCCAGGGAGTCGGCTGGGAGGAGGACGCCGGCTTCTCCCCTCCATGACCCCCATGCCTACCGGACCCCCAGGGCCCCTCACCTGCGGCCGCCTCGCTTCTTCCGCTGTCCATCCAGGGGCGCAGGCAGCGGCTTCACCTGCTTCACAGGCGGCGGCTCCTGCCACTTGTCGAATTTGCGCTCGATCTCATCCTTCAGTTCGTAGCCCACCTGGGGAGGGCGAGGGGGAGGTCCTGCAGCTGCTCGCGTGGGCTGCCCACCCAGGCCTCCTCTGAGCGGACCCCCCGAGTATCCACGTGCCTTAGTTAAATCAGCACCTAATGCTGCCTCACCGCCACCCCCTTTCTTTTTCTTCTTGGTGTTGACTTAGCACCGCTAGACGCAGGACAGAGTTCACCTGTTGACTGTCTCTTTGACCCGGCCCCAACAAGAATGTCCACGCCACGGGGCAGGGGTCCTGTCTGTGCTACTCACAGCTGCACCCCCACACCCAGACCAGGGGTGAGATGGGGAGAGGGAAAGGAGAAGGGGACACGGAACACCTGAACGCTGTGCCAGGCCGGGTGCTTGGCAAACGACAGTTCACAAGACAGAAAACGTCTCCTCTCCCGAGTACATCTACCAAGGAAGACAGAAGGTAACTGAATAATTACTTGAATAACATCCCCTGTTGCAGCGGGGACAGATCCTGGTGTGGAAGGCAAATTACGCCCCCACCAACACACACATGCCCAAAGAGGCCCATGTTCTAATTCCCAGAATCACAGGGCAAAAGGGACGTGAAGAGGTTAAGAAGGATTTTAAGGATTGTGAGCTGGGAAGACTATCCTGGACCATCTGAGTAGGCTCAGTATAGCCACAGGGGCCCTTAAAATAGAAGAGGGGAACAAAAACAGAGGCCGAGATATGAAGACAGAAGCAGAGTCAGAGAGAGGTCTGAGGGTGCTATGTGGCTGGCTCCGCAGACAGAGGGAGGGCCACGAGCTAAGGGGTGCCAGTGACCCCTAGAAGCTGGAAAAGACAAGGGAATGGATTATCCCTTGAATCCCCCAGAAGGAACGCTCCAGGATGACACCCTGACTTCAGCCCAGTGAAACTCATTTTGGACTTCTGACCTACAGGACCACAGATAATAAACCTGTACTGTTTTTTGTTTTTGTTTTTAGATGGAGTCTCGCTATGTCACCCAAGCTGGAGTGCAATGATGCAATCTCAGTTCACTGCAACCTCCGTCTCCCAGGTTCAAGCAATTCTCCTGCCTCAGCCTCCTGAGTAACTGGGATTACAGGTGCGTGCCACCACACCCGGCTAATTTTGGTAGAGATGGGGTTTCACCATGTTGGCCAGGCTGGTCTCAAACTCCTGACCTTGTGACCCGCCCACCCTGGCCTCCCAAAGTGCTGGGATTACAGGCGTGAGCTACTGCACCCGGCCACACCTGCACTGTTTGAAGCCAGTAGGTTCATGCTACCTTCCAACAGCAGACCTAGGAAACCCCACTGGGGAAGGGGGTGCCTGACCCCAGGGAGGGTGGGCAGAAGCACTGCCTCCGCCTTGGTAGGACAGTGCTCGCTGGGGTGGGCTCCCTGCTGAGGGTCTCCCTGCAGAGACACCCCAGGCCCAGAGGAAAAGACGCCCGGCCGCCCCTCACCTTTCCCTCCTCACCTTCCCTTCTGTGCTCTCGTGGAAACTGTCCACACGGGCTGCCAGTGTGCACTTGGCGGCCACCAGCCGGGCCGCTTTCCGCCGCAGATCCTGGAGCAACGGAAAACGGGGGTGGAATCTGTGTGAGACAGACAGACAGAGGTAACAGCAAAGCAACCGCGCGCGCTCCTCCTCTGGCTCTACCTGGGGTCCTGGAAGGGGGCTTTCCACCCTTGGGCTCTAGAGGTGTGTGCTCTCAGCTCCTACTTCACAGGAAGAGGGGATGAGGGCAGGGCACAGAGCCATGTCCCAGCTGATAAGTGGCCATCAGGTAAGGATGACAGTAAGGCACGCTGACAACGAGGACGGTGGTGACTGTGGAGACGCCGGGGGGAGTGCACTCGGCCTGGATGCCAGCCCCATGCTAAGCACGCCCCTCGGATCATCTCATCAAATATTCAAATATTGGGCTGGTGTGATCATTGCACCCCCTTTTCAGATGTGGAAACCAAGGCTTCAAGTCATGTGGCCAGGGAGACAGCCAGCAGGTGATGGAGCCAGGGTTCCAATCCAAACTGCAAACAGAGCCCAGCTGTCAGCCACAGTGAAGCGATGGCCAGCCCTGGCCTCCCTTACAGGCCTGTGGTGTCTACGGCCTGTGCCTGGACCGATGTGAGATGGCCAAATGAAGAGGCAGAGGCCTGGGTGACAAGACATCAGGCTCCCTGGGGCAGGTTTAACCCATATGCCCAGGGCTGTGAGGCGGTGGCGATGGCAGGGGTGCAGTGAGGCAGCTGGAGCCCCGAGCCCCAGGCCCACCCGTCCTGGGTTCTATCGCCCACTCTCTCTCCTCCCAGGATGGGGTGACCTGCCAGCCTCCCTGGGTGTGTTCCAGTAGCAGTGCCTGACCTAAAGGGTCGCAGAAAAGACCACAAAAAAAACCCCACACAGGGCTGGGGGGTGGGGCCAGGAAGTGCCTGCCCAGCCTTGGCCATCAGTGCTATTGTTCTCCCCATCCCTGGGGGAGGCCAGGCAGGGCACAGGGCCGTGAGCCTGAGGTAACTCGCCACAGTCGGACAGAGCAGGGTCTGGACCCAGGCCTGTCTGTCCCAGAACCTGTCTTGTTTTTTTTTTTTTTTGAGACAGAGTCTCACTCTGTCACCCAGGCTGGAGGGCAGTGGTATGATCTTAGCTCACTGCAACCTCCACCTCCTGGGTTCAAGCGATTCTCCTGCCTCAGCCTCCCAAGTAGCTGGGATTATAAGTGTGTGCCACTATACCCAGCTAGTTTTTTGTATTTTTGGTAGAGATGGGGTTTCACCATGTTGGCCAGGCTGGTCTCGAACACCTGACCTCAGGTGATCTGCCCGCCTCGGCCTCCCAAAGTGCTGGGATGACAGGCACGAGCCACTGCGCCCCGCCAGGCTAGCGGGCCTGTGTGTGTGCTGTCAGGCGTCGATGCTGGGATGGTGATGTGTCCCGACTGCAGGGAGAGGACCCGGGAAGCTCCGAGGTTGGTGACCTCTCCTGCCCCTCCTGTGTGTCTCTCCCCATGGCTGATGTGCAGCCCTCAGTGGATTCTGTGAGTCTTTCTAGTGAATGGTCAAACCTGAGGGTGGTCTTCGGAGCAGTTGCACGCTAACCCGACGCTGCTTGTCGTGAGCTAGGCCTGAACTGTAAGTGCTTCATGTGCACTGAGCCCTCGTCCCAACTCATGAAGCAGGCGCTGTGCTCCCATTTGATAGGGGAGGAGACTGAGGCACAGGGCGCTCATGCCTCTTGCCCACAGTCACCTGACTGGTGGGTGCTGGAGCTGGTCTGCTGCAGAGCCCTGGCTCTCACGTCCCATGCCACCCTGTTCCCAGCTCCTGAGTGCTACCGTCAGCTGGGCCAGATGGTGGGTGGCTGCTCAGGCTGTCTGGGCACAGCGGAAGGCTCCAGGGGGGCCGGGGGAGGGGCCATGACGCAGTGGGCTCACCGGTGGCAGGGACTGCACGATGTCACTGTGGTAGATGTAGCCGGTGTGGGGCAGCACTGAGGTAGACGAGAAGCCCGACAGCGTCTTGCGCTGGGCCCCGAGCAGCATGATGTTGCAGGCGGGCATCTTGGAGAGGTTGGTCAGGCCGCCGGCCACACCTGCGGTGGGAGGGAGGGAGGAAGGGGGGGCGGTCAGAAGAAAGCAGAGAGGTGGGGGTGAGTAAATCTGCCTGGGGGCTCGACGTGTGCTGGGCACCTTTACATGAAGTTCTGGTTGGATTCCTCGATGGCCCTGCCAGGCGGGCGACCTGGCCCATTCCGCAAGGGGCAGATGCAAAGGAGGCTCAGAGAGGGAGGGCAGCTGGCCTGGGGGTGCAGGGAGGAGGCCCCCAACAGGAAGCTGACCACCACGTTTGTGCTAAGCCACACTAACGCCGTTCCAGGGATGGCTGTGTTTTGGAACCATTTTCACCAAACCAGGAGCTCCCTGACAACAGGGCCTGGGTGTGGTCATCTCTGGGTTTCCGGCACAGGGGAGGGAGAAGGAGCTGTGGGTGAGTGTTTTTCCCACAGACGAGGCTTTGCTGTGTGCCAGGCTGGCTGACCTCTGTGATGTCCAGGGAGACGGGGTGCTGAGGTCCAGGTGCCAAAGCCCCCATTCTACAGAAAAGGATGTAGCTTTCCCAAGGTCACAGTGTCAGCAGACCCCCGCTCCATGGGACCCAGCCCGGGGACTCACCCATGATCTTGGCGGCCGTGGATGCCCCGATAATGATGGACAGGTTGGGTGCGATGAAGGACATCCGGGACTCCACATACTCGTAGATGCGGTGCTTGGAGGCGTTCAGCTCCAGCGCCATGTCGCAGGCCTCCTCCAGCCGCTCCAGCTCCTCCTCCGACAGCTGCTGCCTGCAGGGGCGGGTGGGCCCAGCCTCCTGGATCTCCCGCCTGCCTGGTGTGCCCAGCCCCAGCCCTCTCGGTTCTGTGTGTGTGTGTGCATGTGTGTATGTGTGTGTGCGTGTGTACACCTGCGTGTGTAGCTCCAGCCTAATCCCCAATCCCATTAGGGCCCGGCGCCTCCCTCGAAGCGGACATACCCCTGGGTGGTGGAGGCGGTGACGCTGACGACCATGATGGTGGCATTGGTGAGGATCTGCTGCAGGTTCTCATTGTTCTTGCACTTGTCCAGGCTGTTGCCCAGCTCCTGGGGGCGAGCAGAGAAGATAGGGGAGGCTCGGGAACTCAGGAAGGCTCGAGAACCTCTCTTGCTCAGCACCTCCTCAGGTCTCTTCTTAGGGACACTGGGACAGTCAGGGTCTCTGCACTGGGGGCCTCTCCTGCCTCCACCGCCTGAAGCATCCACACCATTCCTGCCTCCACCACGTCAAGCATCCACACCATCTGCCCTGCTTTCGCTGACCTGGAAACGGAGCCCGGGCAGAGTGGCGTCTGGAAAGACTGTGGCCTCACAAGCCTCTGGCCTGCGTCAAGTCGGAGTGCAAATCCGCGGCCTCGCTTCCCTGCAGGGGCTTCCCCACCGCCATCCTAATCCTTTCCTGGACATGCGTGGGGACCTCCTCCTCTCCCCGCCCTCACGCACACCTGCCCCTCTTTTCCGAAACCCTTCCTTGGCTTTCTCCTAAGACCCAAAGGCTGGACGTGATCCGACCTCTTCCCCGTCCCCTCCTTCCCCGCCTCACTTCCTCCCCACTTGTTCCCTCTCCAGCTCTCTGCACTTAGACGTCTCTCTGCCCCAAATCTCCGTGTGCCTGCCCTGTGTCAACCTTCGGATGTCAACTCCAATGCCACCGGCTCCAACCACAGCGGGAGCAGCGTGGGTCAGGCCAGCGGGGAAGCCCTCTCGGGAGACTGGGGTTGGAGGGGAGCCCTGAGAAAGTCCTGTCCAGGCTCCGTCCCTCCCACGCTGGGCAGAGCAGACCACTGAGCCCTCGTCCACTCCTCTCCATCGTCTCCAGACCCTGAGGCCTCTGGGAGGGGGTCCGAGAGTGAGCCCCGCCTGCCCCTTCACGCCAGCAGAAGCACCCCACCTTCTCTGCGCTCACCTTGACCGTGCGGATGTAATCCAGTGCATTGGGGACCAAGGACTCCAGTTCAGGGAATCTCTTTGAGTACTTATCCCGGATGAACTTATGGATGATGTCTAGGGTAAACGGGACAGGAGGTTGTCGGGTGAGATGGAAGGTAGACTCTGCTGGTTGGCCCTAACACCCATGTCCCCTTCTTCCTTTAGTAACTGAAGCCCTGGCTTGTGGCCTGGCACACGGGCACCAGCATACAGCCTTTCTCAGCCGTCCTTACCGCTAGGTGTGACCAGGGGAATTAGTTCTGGTCTGTAAAACGTGAGCTGCAGTGACATGTTCTTAAAGAAAAGAAGCGCCTTGCTGGTGGGAATGCGGAGGTGATGGCTGGAGGTGGGGCAGTCACCTCGCACCGTGAGGCAGGTGGCCGACCAACAGGATGGAAAGAGCCGGGGCCCTACAGGCAGCCAAGCGGCCACACCATCCCCGAGTGCTCCTCAGACTCATACGCGAGAGAACGCACTTCCTTCTTATTTCAGCCACTCTGTGACAGCAGGTCAACCTCGATCTGAGCTTGGGCTTAGGGGCAGGACCCTGGGAAAGGCCAGTGGGGAAGGGAGAGGGGGCGTGAGGGACGTCACACGGGGCTGTCTCCGCCTGCCCCCCAGCACTCACTCAGCTCGTTTTCGATCTCCACGGTCAGGTTGTTGGCATCCACGATGACGCGGTATTCAGGCGCGGCCTCCACTGGTCCCATCACTGTGAGGACACGGAGGCATGGGTGTGAGTATCTAAATCCCTACCCCCTCTCGGGTCCCGCAGCTGGAGGAGGCGGAGGATGAAGTTGGGAGGGGTCAGGAAGGAGGGGCTGAAGAGTAAACCAGGGACAGGCTGATGTCTGCAGACATCCCTGAACTTGTGTTCCTGCCTTCAATCCCTCTCCCTCCACACCAGTCTAGACTTGACCCCATCTACCCCAGAACTGACCGTGTGAAACCTCCTACGGCTCCCCACAGCCCCAAGGCTAATGACCGAGTCCTCAGACTGACATTCAGGGCCTCCCCAACTCCGGAAGCTCTGCAGGGACCAGTGCTGTGCCTGCGTTGGCTGTACCCACAGCCGAGTACCCAGGACAGCACCTGGCACACAGGGAGTTCCCCCGTTCCTGTTTGCTGACTCAGCAGCTCTGCAGTCTGGCCTCCCGCCCTTCCCGCCCCATCCTCTCACCACACCTCATTTTATTCCACTCCAGCCATAAAGGAGTGATCACAGTGCCCCAGACACCCACTCCTCCTAGCCTTTTTTTTTTTTTTTGAGACATAATTTCGCTCTGGTTGCCCAGGCTAGAGTATAGTGGCATGATCTCAGCTCACTGCAACCTCCGCCTCCTGGGTTCAAGCGATTCTCCTGCCTCAGCCTCCTGAGTAGCTGGGATTACAGGCATGTGCCACCACGCCCGGCTAATTTTTTTTGTTTGTTTGTATTTTTAGTAGAGACGGGGTTTCACCATGTTGGGCAGGCTGGTCTCGAACTCCCGACCTCAGGTGATCCATCTGCCTTGACCACCCAAAGTGCTGGGATGACAGGCGTGAGCCACCGCGCCAGACCCCTCCTGGCCTCTGCATGTGCTGCTCCCTCTCCCCAGAGCATCCCTTACCCCACGTCTGTTTCTGGAAAACGCTTCTTTGTGCTTTAGTAATAAGAGGTCAGGCACAGTGGCTCATACCTGTAATCCCAGCACTTTGGGAGGCTGAGGCAGGAGAACTGCTTGAGCCCAGGAGTTGGAGAGCAACCTGGGCGACATAGGGAGACCCCATCTCTACACATAATTAAAGAAAAAAAATTAGCCAGGCATGGTGGTGTACACCTGTGGTCCCAGCTGCCTGGGAGGCTGAGGCAGGAACGCCTGAGCCCACAAGGTCAAGGCTGCAGTGAGCTGGGATCGTGCCACTGCATTCTGGCCTGGGTGACAGAGTGAGACCCTGTCTCAAAAAACAAACAAACAAAAAGATGTTGTGTTTAAAAGTCATGCAAATACTAACTGCCTGATGTCACAGCCAGTAGAAGGCAGAGCTCAGATCTGACACCAGGCAGGGCGGCGTCAGAGTCTGCACTCCTAACCCTGATGCTCAAATGGCTCTTTAAGTCCTTAAGACTCAGGCAGCGACTCAGAATCCTTCCCTCCCTTTCTGGAAGGATCAGACGCCTCCTCTGTGTACCCGCAGCACTTGTGCACCTCCAGTAAACAGGGACTGCCACAGCTTGTGAGATGTTTCACCTCTGCCTCCTCAACCAGACACCGGGTGTGACGGGGTCTGACTCCATCCCTGAGCCTGGCCTGACATCAGGAAATGTCACTTTCTGTGTCCCATAACCCTCTGGAGGGAGAAATTCCTTGGCCTGGCATCTGGAACTCTGCAGGATTCTCTCTCCGGATATCTGAGGCCCCGGGCCTGCCGCTGTCTTTCCCTGGGCCCCCTTCTCCCTTTCTTTGCCTGGCACATGCATTCATGCTCTACAGTCCAATTCAGCTATCGATTCTTCCTGACACCTGGGGCAGGGTCAGCCAGTCCCTCCTGTGGCTCCGGTGTCCCCAGCTTGGTACCACCACTGATAGCTGTCTGGAACCTGGCCTGCCTCTTCCACTAGACCTTGAGTACTTTGAGAGCAAAGACCTGGGCGATTCAACTGGGTGCCCAGGTAAACGTTAAAGAAAGCAAGCAGTGAGTCTCCCGAAACTCTGCCCTCTCACTACACTTCTTTCCCCAGAAACCTCCTATGGCTTCCTGTCATCAACAAATTCCATTCAAGAAGAATGGGAAGGCTGGGCGTAGTGGCTCATGCCTGTAATCCCAGCACTTTGGGAGGCCGAGGTGGGCGGATTACTTGAGGTCAGGAGTTCGAGACTAGCCTGGTCAACATGGTGAAACCCCATCTCTACTAAAAAATACAAAATAGCCAGGCATGGTGTTGCATACCTGTAATCCCAGCTATACATAAGGCTGAGGGAGGAGAATCGCTTGAACCCGGGAGGTGGAGGTTGCAATGAGCCAAGAACACATCACTGCACTCCAGCCTGGGCGACAGAGGGAGACTCTATCTCAAGGAAAAAAAAAAAAGAATAGGAATGGTAACAGGACTGCCCTCTTAAGAGTGAGTCTGAGCACTCATGAGATAAGCTAGTGTTCTCTCAATTTGGGCATGAGAAAAGGTTTTAGGTTATTTTTTTTTTTTTTGAGACGGAGTCTTGCTCTGTCGCCCAGGCTGGAGTGCAGTGGCACGATCTCGGCTCACTGCAAGCTCCGCCTCCCAGGTTCACGCCATTCTCCCGCCTCAGCCTCCTGAGTAGCTGGGACTACAGGCACCCGCCACCACGCCTGGCTAATTTTTTGTATTTTTAGTAGAGACGGGGTGTCACCGTGTTAGCCAGGATGGTCTCGATCTCCTGAACTCATGATCCACCTGCCTCCGCCTCCCAAAGTGCTGGGATTACAGGCGTGAGCCACGGCGCCCGGCCTTAGGTGGTTCCTAAATAATTATATATCTATTTTTATACAGTGACTTTGTCTTTGCCAAATGATACCAGTTTTCCATTCATGGTAGCAATTTGCTTCCTTCTCAGATAAATTTAAGAAAAAAAGTCCTAGACTCAAAGAATATGTTAAGCAAATAATAGGATAAGCGGCTTATAGATGTGGCAAAAACCCTGTAACCGGTCATGTGAATCAGTGAAGTCTGGGAAACCTCAAGCTGAGTCCTATCATGATCAGTAAGCTCAGCACACAGGAAGGACTTAAGAAGCATGAGCTTTACAATGCAATATATATTTAGTGGAAAAGGGAACGGGTTGGGGTGAAACAAAAAAAAAAGAAGGCTCTGGAAAAGGCTGAGAAGGAGATATACCCAGCCACAAGCAGCCAGGGAGCCAGGGGGCCTGGCAGGAGAGACAGGAGATGGGGAGGGGCACAGAGTGGGAGGAAGCACCTTCTGAAGCTTTGGCTTGCTTGCTGATATACTCCTCAATCTTCATCATAATCTCAGCAAACTGTAGGAAAGGAGAAGACAGTCAGAATCCAGCACTCTTCAAAAAGAAGCCTGTATCACCCCCTTCTGGGAGATTCTGTCTAGAGCCCCCTGCTAGGAACACCTCTTGTCCTCTTACCATCTTACTATCCCATAGCTTGGCGATGGTCTTGACTGAATCCCCGGAAAGATCCAGCTGTGTCTCCTCCTGCACATCCTCGATCGCTGGCTCCTCTTCTTCCTCCCCATAGCTTCCTCCTTCCTCCTCTTCTGCTGCCTCTTCGAGATCAGCTAAGAGCTCATCTGCCAGAGACATCCCGAGGCCTGGGGAGGGACAGCAGCGTTCCCTAAAAACTTGCCCCGACAAAGTCCCTCCTTATTACTGAGCGATGATTCTCCCCCAGAAGACCCTGGTCCTTCTTTATCAACCCCACTAGCATGCAGGCTCCACGACAACAGGTGCTTTAGTTTGTTTTGTTCACTGGCGAGTCTCCAGCTCCGACCTGTGCAAGACGCAGCACACCCCTATGACCGCCACCTTGCTAAGACTTACTGGAACCAAGTGGTGTAGATTCCAAATGCATTTGCAAACTTTCTTATTCCTTTCTTGCCTTTAGCCTTGAAAACATACTTTGAAATTCTTTGTTTCCCTCCTTTCCCACTAGATACTGTCTTGCACTGCTGGCTTATCTATGTGCTTACTTAGAAGTTCCAGGGGCTAATCTTTATTTATTTATTTTTTAAAGATGGAGTCTGGCTCTGACACCCAGGTTGGAGTGCAGTGGCGCAGTCTTGGCTCACTTGCAACCTCCACCTCCTGGGTTCAAGCGATTCTCCTGCCTCAGCCTCCTGAGTAGCTGGGACTACAGGCACCTGCCACCATGCCCAGCTAATTTTTTTTTTTTTTTTTTGTAGAGTCAAGGTTTCACTATGTAAGCCAGGCTGGTCTTGAACTCTTGACCTCAAGTGAGCGACCCACCTTGGCCTCCCAAACTGTTGGGATTACAGGCGTAAGCCACCGCGCCTCGCCGCAGGGGCTAATCTTGAAACAAACTAGGTATGGAAACCCAGCTGCAAAACTCCAGAGATCACCTCAAGGCGATCAATCTACAACGTGGCCATTGTTGACTTGACACCAGCCCATGCTCCAGGTGGCCCGTGACTCAAGACAGCCTTCGGAGCAAGACACACATACCTTGTACCCAGCACCACTCCTGTATGCCTCCCATTCAAAGTTCCCCTTTTTAAGCCCCTCTCCCCAGCCTAAAGCTTGAAATGGTCTTCTAAAGACATTAGCTTGGCCATTTCTCATCTGCGAGCATTTGATCAGTAAAGCTGCTTTACTTTCACCACCCCCCACTTCCTCTGCCTCTGAGTAGCAGAAACTTGAGTTGGTTACATTATCGGTCTCTTCCCGCCTCCAGGTCTTTGTACAGGAGTCCCTTGTAACTAAAGTGGCCCTTTCCTTCACTTTGTTTTTTCTTTTCTTTTCTTTTTTTTGAGACCATGTCTTGCTCTGTCACCTAGGCTGCAGTGCAGTGGCGCCATCATAGCTCACGGCAGCCTCGATCACCTGGGCTCAAGCGATTCTCCCGCCTCAGCCTCCCGATAGCTGAGATGACAGGCACGCACCAGCACGCCCGGCTAATTTTTAAATTTTTCTGTAGAGACAGGGTCTCACTGTGTTGCTCAGGCTGGTCTCAAACTCCTGGGCTCAAGCGATCCTTTCGCCTGGGCCACCCAAAGTGCTGGGATTACAGGAGTGAGCCATGGCGTCTGGCTCTCCTCACTTCTTAGTAGCCCAGCATCTCCTCAGCCTTCAGCTCTCACGTTCCACCTCCCTGACCCACACGCCCCACTCTAGACTACAGGAGGTTGCTTTGTGATAACGTGTCCCGCACGCTCTGCGTGTCTACAGTAAGGCACTTCACACATTTGTGATTAATGAAGTAATTATTTGATAAAGCCTGTCTGCCAGGCATCAACCAAAGCTCTAAGAGGGTAGCGAACAATTTTTGCTCCTTCCACATCCCCAGGGCCACACCATGGTAGGCGCATATTAAGACTTTTGGGTAAACAGGCTGTAAAAGGCCGGGAGCGGTGGCTCATGCCTGTAATCCCAGCACTTTGGGAGGCCCAGGCGGGTGGATCATCTGAGGTCAGGAGTTGGAGACCAGCCTGGCCAACATAGTGAAACCCCGTCTCTACTAAAAATACAAAAAACTAGCCGGGCGTGGTGGTGCGCGCCTGTAATCCCAGCTACTCGGGAGGCTGAGGCAGGAGAATCGCTTGAATCCGGGAGGCGGAGGTTGCAGTGAACCGAGATCGCGCCACTGCACTCCAGCCTGGGCAACAAGAGCGAAACTCCGTCTCAGACAAAACAAACAAACAACTGGCCAGGCGCGGTGGATCATGCCTGTAATCACAGCACTTTGGGAGGCCGAGGCGGGCGGATCACGAGATCAGGAGTTCGAGACCAGCCTGACCAACATGGGGAAACCCCGTCTCTACTAAAAATACAAAAATTAGTCAGGGGTGGTGGCGGGCGCCTGTAATCCCAGCTACTCTGGAGGCTGAGGCAGAAGAATCGTTTGAACCCGGGAGACGGAGGTTGCAATGAGCCGAGATCGCGCCACTGCTCTCCAACCTGGGCAACAGAACGAGACTCCGTCTCAAAACAAACAAACAACAAAAAAACAAAAACCAAGCTGTAAAGACCCGCCTTTTTCCTCACACACTTCTTCTCCCAGACCCAGGAGCCCAGCCTCCCGCTCCCCGTGGTCTCCATCACACTCACCTCTCCTCTCCGCGCACCACTGTTTCTAGCGTTAGTCGCTCACCGATGACGTCTCACTCTCGCGCCGTTATAGAGGCAAAGCTACTCTCTGATTGGTCCCCGCTCGCGATGTTCCTGGCCGCATTTGAAACAACAACTTTATTAGCACCTGGCACTAGGCGGAGAGAGGCGGTAAGCCGCGAGGAGGAAAGGGACTCACGTCCCGCTGTGGACCGATCCTGCTAAGCAGAGAATCGCTGTGGCCGGACGACGGGGCGTCGAGACAAGAAGAAAGACGTTGGCAACTCAGAGGACTGGTTGCGGCGTTAGACAAGAAAGCAAGGCCTTTAAGCAGGGATTCGGGGTGGACGTGGGGGTGGGCCGAAGCGAAGCCGGAAACAGGAAACTACAACTCCCACAAGGCCTAGGGCCACGTCCCGCCGTCCTCGGCTGCTGAGCCTGATGGGACAAGTAGTTTTGCGAACGGCTTAACCTACAGATTGAAGAGGTCGGAAGCTCTGAGGCCCGGGGCTTCCGGAGGTCGCGGAGATGGAATTGGAGCAGAGAGAAGGGTATGTGGCTGAGCCCTTGTGAAAAAGTGCGAATCCCAGAAAACAGTGCAGCTGCATTGTGTGCAACCATATGAGCTTTTACGCTGAGGTCTGATGGGGGTTGTAGTTCATGCAACTGCTTTACCTTAGAACCCTTTTATGGACTGGGGTCATCCTGAGGGAGGAGAAGGTTAGGGGTTTGGACTGCTGGATCTGACAGACTAGGAGGTTGGAAGCCAGGACTCTTGCGTCTGGTTGAGGGTTGGGGCTTGGACTCCCTGGGTCCTTGGAGAGAAAAAGTCTGGAGGTCTGGACTCTTGCATCCTGGGAGGAGGGGGTCAGGGCTTGAACCCTGTGGGTGCTGCGAAGGGTGGGTTGCGGACTTGGACTTCTGGGTCTGAGGGAGGAGGGCTGGGAGCTGGATTCTACGGTCTGAGGGAGGAGGGGCTGGGGGCCTGGATTCTAGGATCTCAGGGAGGAGGGGTTGGGGTCTGGGCTCCTGGTTCAGTGGGAGAAGGGGCTGGGGGTCCAGGATCCAGGGCCCCTGAGCCTTTCCCTGCCTCTCAGGACCATGGCAGCCGTGGGCTTTGAGGAGTTCTCAGCGCCGCCAGGCTCAGAGTTGGCGTTGCCTCCCCTATTTGGTGGCCACATCCTGGAGAGCGAGCTGGAGACGGAAGTGGAGTTTGTGTCAGGTGGTCTGGGCGGCTCAGGGCTCCGGGAGCGAGATGAAGAGGAAGAGGCAGCCCGGGGTCGGCGGCGGCGCCAGCGGGAATTAAATCGCAGAAAGTACCAGGCACTAGGTCGGCGCTGCCGGGAGATCGAGCAGGTAGGTGAGTGCGGATCCCCCGGTTTTGGGGTCCCCTGGCCTAAACTACCGCCCCCCGCAATCTCTGCCTTTCCACATGCCCAGCCTTTCTTGGCTTGCTGATATATTCAGTCATTTAGCTTATATATTCAGTCATTTAGCATGCATTATGTGTCTGGCCCTGTGCCGGGCCCCTGGAAGGGCCATCTCCCGTGGAGCTTCCCTGACAACGCAGATGGGTTCTCTGATGTCTCCCGGGGGCCTCTCAATGCGTGGCACCGCTCACAGGTGAAAGCCCAAGCTCTTCACATCTCCCATACCCCTGCCAGGATTCACTCCTCTCGACTCATTCATTCCGCCTCTTGAGTGTCTCTGGACCCTTCTCCTCTCCTCCATCCCTATGGCTGCCATTGCAAACTCCAGCTGTCTGGGCTGAATGACTGCAATAGCCTCCTTGCTGAGAATAAGGATGGGCTGGGCATGGTGGCTCACGCTTGTAATCCTAGCACTGGGAGGCTGAGGCAGGCGGATCACCTGAGGTTAGGAGTTCGAGACCAGCCTGGCCAACATGGTGAAACCCCATCTCTACTAAAATACAAAAAAATTAGCCAGGTGTGGTGGTGCGCACCTGTAGTCGCAGCTACTAGGGAGGCTGAGGCATGAGAATTGCTTGAACCCGGAAGGCGGAGGTTGCAGTGAGCCAAGATCATGCTGCTGTACTCCAGCCTGGGTGACAGAGTGAGACTCCGTCTCAAAATCAATCAATCAATCAATGAGGATTAAACAGCAGGCAGGGCTCAGATCTTGGCAGGCCAGGAACACCAGGACAAGAAGTCTGGATATTTTTTTTTCCTTGAGAGTGAAGGAGCCACTGAAGGGTTTCAAATGGGGGAGGAACAGCATCAGGTCTGGATGCCTGAAACTCTGAAGACAGTTGTATTAGTCTGCTTGGACTCCCAGAACTTATCACAAATAGGGTCCCTCAAGCACAGAAATTCCTGTCTGACAGTTCTGGAGGCTAGACATCCAAGGCAAGGTGTCGACAGGGTTGTGAGAATCTTCCAGGCCTCTCCCCTGGCTTCTGGAGGTTTCTGGCAGTCATTGGCACGTACAAACATCACCCTGATCTCCGCCTTCATCTTCACATTGCTGCTCCCTGTGTGTGTGTCTGTGTCCCAATTTACCCTTTTTATAAGGACTCCAGTCATACTGGATTAGGGCCCACCCACTGGCTTCATTTGAACTTGATTACTTTTGTAACGACACTGTCTCCATATAAGGTGATCCTGAGGTACTGGGGGTTAAAGCCTCAACACCCTCTTTTGGGGGAAATAATTCAACTTTTTTTTTTTTTTTTTTTTTTTTTTTGAGGTGGAGTCTCGCTCTTGTCTCCCAGGCTGGAGTGCAATGGCACCATCTCAGCTCACTGTAACCTCCACCTCCTGGGTTCAAGTGATTCTCCTGACTCAGCCTCCCTAGTAGCTGGGATTACAGGCGCCCGCCACCACACCCAGCTAATTTTTCTATTTTTAGTAGAGACAGGGTTTCACCATGTTGGTCAGGCTGGTCTCAAACTCCTGACCTCAGGTGATCTGCCCACCTCAGCCTCCCAAGGTGCTGGGATTACAGGCTTGAGCCACCACGCCTGGCCTTCAACTCTTTTTCTCTTTCTTGAGACAGGTTCTCACTTTGTCACCAAAGCTGGAGTGCAGTGGCGCAATCTCAGCTCATTGCAGCCTCAGTCTCCCAGGTTCAAGCAGTCCTCCTGCCTCAGCCCCCAAAATAGCTGGGACTACAGGCACACACCACCACACCTGGCTAATTTTTGTACTTTTTGTAGAGATGGGGTTTTGCCATGTTGCCCAGGCTGGTCTTGAACTCCTGACCTCAAGTGATCCACTCGCCTTGACCTCCCAAAATGCTAGGATTACAGGCATGAGCCACCACATCTGGCCTCAATTCTTAATGACAGTATTGGGGAGTTCTGTAAGGAGGAAGGCTAGAGGCCAGGGGCATATTCCAAACCCTGTTTAACAGACAGACACCAAGGCCCAAACGGACTCAACTGGAGCCTCTGCCATTAATCCACCCCCAGGAATAGATTACTACTATTTTACAAGTATAGAAAATCAAGGCTCAGAGAGGTTAAGTAATGCACCCAAGCTCAGAGCTCAGCAGTGGCAGATCTGAGATTTTTTTTTTTTTTTGAGACAGGGTCTTTCTCTGTTGCCCAGGCTGGAGTGCAGTGGCATGACTGTGGCTCACTGCAGCCCCAACATCCTGGACTCTAGCAATCTCAGCCTCCGAAGGAGCTGGGACTACAGCCACCAAGCCCAGCTAATTTTTTTGGTTAGTTTTTGAGTGTTGGGGTCTCACTCTGTTGCCCAGGCTGGTGTCGAACTCCTGGCCTCTCAAAGTGCTGGGATTATAGGCATGAGCCACTGTGCCAAGCCAGAGCCAAAACTTGAACTCTTTTTTTTTAGATGGATTTTCGCTCTTGTTGTCCAGGCTGGAGTGCAATGCTGCAATCTCAGCTCACTGCAACCTCCGCCTCCTGGGTTCAAGCGATTCTCCTGCCTCAGCCTCCCGAGTAGCTGGGATTACAGGCATGCGCCACTACACCTGGCTAATTTTGTATTTTTAGTAGAGACAGGGTTTCACCACGTTAGGCTGGTCTCAAACTCCTGACCTCAGGTGATCCGCTCGCCTTGGCCTCTGAAAGTGCTGGGATTACAAGCGTGAGCCACCGTGCCTGGCACTTTTTTTTTTTTTTTTCTTTTGAGACAGAGTCTTACTCTGTCACCCAGGCTGGAGGGCAGTGGTGTGATCTCGGCTCACTGCAACCTCCAGCTCCTGGGTTCAAGCGATTCTCCTGCCTCAGCCTCCTGAGAAACTGGGATTACAGGCATGCGCCACCATACCCAGCTAATTTTTGTATTTTTCTTTTTTTTTTTTTTTTTTTAGTAGAGATGAGGTCTCATCATGTTGGCCGGGCTGGTCTGGAACTCCCGACCTCAAACTCTTGAGTAGCTGAGATTACAGGCATGTGCCACAACATCCGGCCAATTTTTGTATCTTTAGTAGAGACGGGGTTTCACCATGTTGGCCAGGCTGGTCTTGAACTCCTGACCTCAAGTGATCTGCCCGCCCCGGCCTCCCAAAGTGCTGGGATTACAGGCGTGAGCCACTGTGCCCCGCCCGGAACTCAGGTCTTTCTGACCCAGGAGCAGCACCTGCTTCAGCCACTGTCTTTGGGTCCCTGTTTGGCTGAGTCACATCTCTCCCTCCATGTCTAGGCTGGAGTCCTCAGAAGCTGCGTGCAGGGCTGTCCCCTCAGCCTGGCATACTTTCCTCCTGTCACCCCTTTGTCTCCTCCTTATTCAAGTCTGGGCCCACGGGCCTTCTCTGCAGGTCGTAACTAAAGTCGCACCTCCTGCCCTAACCTCCAGCATGTCTGACTCTTTGGTATTCACCAAGCACTTCTCACTTTGCAAAGTCATTGATTCTGCAAATGTTCATGGAGGATGTACTACGTGCCAGGCTCTGGTTAAGGCACGGGATGTAGAAACAAGTTGCTGTCGTTTTTCAGCTCATGCTCTGGCTGGAGAGGCGGTCAGTCAGCAGAATAAGCAAAGAGGCGGAGAGGCTGCGTCCTGCCTCCTCAGATGAGCACTAGGAGGAAATAAAGCCAGGAGTGAATGGCCGGGTGGGGTTCTGGCATGGGAAGGGGGGTCGGGTGTGTTGCAATTTTTTTTTTTGAAACAGAACCTCGCTCTGTTGCCCAGGCTGGAGTGCAGTGGGGTGATCTCAACTCACTTCACCCCTCCACCTCCCAGGTTCGTGCGACTATCCTGCAGGCACCTGCCACCACGCCCAGCTAATTTTTTGTATTTTTAGTAGAGATGGGGTTTCATCATGTTGGCCAGGCTGGTCTCGAACTCCTGACCTCAGGGGACCTACTCGCCTCGGCCTCCCAAAGTGCTGGGATTACAGGCGTGAGCCACCGCACCTGGCCTGGTGTGTTTCGACTTAATGGGAGGTTCAGGCTCTCTGAGCAGGTAACAGTTGACCTAAGACTTGGAGTGGGGAGTAAGTTGTGCGGATGACTGGGGAGAGGGTCCAGGTAGAGGAACAGCACGCGGAAGGCCCCCACTGGAGGGCACTCAGGACTGTGGCATGGTGAGAGGGGAGCCGGAGGGATGGGAAGGTGGAAGGACCTCAGGCCACGGGATGGTCTTTGGCCAGTCTCCAGAGTTTAGTGCGTGCCCCATTAAACATCCGTTAAACAAATGAACGGGAGCCGTGGGATCCAGCTGATGGGCGTTTCCCACCCCATAGGTGAACGAGCGGGTCCTGAACAGGCTCCATCAGGTGCAGAGGATAACTCGGAGGCTGCAGCAGGAACGGAGGTAACCCCTTCTCCGTCCCCTCTGGGCCTGTGAGCCTCAGCTCCCAAATGCTCCCAGCCCCTCTGTCTCTCCCACTTCCACATCCACCCAACCCTCACAAGCCACAAGGAGAAGCCGGAGATGAGGGCCGGGGGCTGAGGCAAACAAGGAGGAAGAGTGGGATTCGGTGTTGGAGGAGAGGGCTGAGCACTGGGACTGAGGGAGGGCCGGGTGGAGAGGGCTGAGCACTGGGACTGAGGGAGGGCCGGGTGGAAGGGGCTGTGCGCTGGGACTGAGGGAGGGCCGGGTGGAGAGGGCTGAGCACTGGGACTGAGGGAGGGCCGGGTGGAGGGCCTCCTCCCCCTGAAGGGAGGGAACAGCAGGATGGAAGGCACACGAGCACAGACCTGACTGCAAGTATTTTCTTTTTTTTTTGCTGTGTGACTCTAAGCAAGCAGTGTCCCTTCTCTGAGCTGTTTCCTATCAACTAAGGGCAGCACCAATATCATGAGGCTGCGGCAGGGTTGTCGGAGCTTGCAGGTGGTGAGCTGAGCTCAGAGCTTCCCACTGTGTGTCTCCACAGAACCTGCCCAGGTGGCTGCTGCCCCTGCCACTCGCAGTGTCCCTGTACCAGCAAAACTGGAGCAAGTTTTGTAGGAATGGCTCCACGTTGCTGAGTCAACCACAGTTCTCATCTCAGTCCTTGGCTCAGGCTCGGCACAGTGGCCCAGGGCTATGTGCTCTTCCCTGGAGCCCATTCTTGCCATCCTGGGCACCCAGCAACCTGGGGTCTCCTGCCTTTCCGGCTGTTCCTTCTTGGCTGCCTTTGCTAGTTCATCCTCCCTCCCCAAAG
This sequence comes from Homo sapiens, assembly GCF_000001405.40. Classification (NCBI taxonomy): domain Eukaryota; kingdom Metazoa; phylum Chordata; class Mammalia; order Primates; family Hominidae; genus Homo; species Homo sapiens. The sequence continues at coordinate 83,714 of NW_003571059.2, read as the reverse complement.
CTGAAACCTGCGGCTCCCAGGGTTCCTCTGTCCGTACCTGTGCTGTCCAGCACGGTAGCCGCTGGCCACAGGTGAGATTTTCACTTAAGTTGAAATAGGCCGGGCGCAGTGGCTCATCATGCCTGTAATCCCAGCACTTTGGGAGGCCGAGGCAGGCGGATCACGAGGTCAGGAGATCGGGACCATCCTGGCTAACACGGTGAAACTCCGTCTCTACTAAAAATACAAAAAAATTAGCCGGGTGTAGTGGCAGGCGCCTGTAGTCCCAGCTACTCGGGAGGCTGAGGCAGGAGAATCGCTGGTACCAGGGAGGTGGAGGTTGTGGTGAGCCAAATTCACGCCACTGCACTCCAGCCTGGGTGACAGAGTGAGATTCCGTCGCAAAACAACAACAACAAACCTGCCCAGGTGCTGGTGCAGAGGAGGCATTCCATCAATTGAACCTTAAGGAACTCTGGAGGCAGGGGCTGGGGAAAAAAGAGAAGGGGGTGTTTATAAGAGGTGAGGTCATTAGGAGGAGCGTTCTGTACTCCCCTCTCTTCAGTTATCAATAAAAATTATAACTCACATATGAATGTTTACTAAGTGCTGACATCACATTAAGTACAGAAATCGTCTGGTGTCACTACTTCAGTGTCACCGCTGCAACATCCAGCCGAGGGTGTCATGTCGTTTGCAGAGCAGGAAACTCAGCCTCAGAATGGTTGCCTTGTCTTGCTCGAGGTCTCAAGGCTGGTCAAGGGCATGGCTCCCAGGCCTCCAGTGCCAGAGCTCAGGACCGTCTGGCTCCAGGACAGCTTTGGCGTTGAGTGGAGTGGGAGCTGAGCTCTATCCTGTGGCCCTTTTCCCCAGCCGCTAGGAGATAAGTTATTCCGTTGGTGGCTTCTCCCCCTGAGCAGGTTCCTCATGAGAGTGCTGGACTCCTACGGGGATGACTACCGGGCCAGCCAGTTCACCATTGTGCTGGAGGTGAGTGTTGGGCCTCCAGGAGGGTCAGGAACTGGGAGCTCAGGACCCACCCATCACCTACCTCCCCCTCCTGCCTGCCAGGATGAGGGCAGCCAGGGCACGGATGCCCCCACCCCAGGCAATGCGGAGAATGAGCCTCCAGAGAAAGAGACACTGTCCCCGCCCAGAAGGACTCCTGCACCCCCAGAACCCGGCAGCCCAGCCCCCGGTGAGGGGCCCAGTGGGCGGAAGAGGCGGCGAGTGCCACGGGATGGACGCCGAGCAGGAAATGCGCTGACTCCAGAGCTGGCCCCGGTGCAGGTGAGGAAGGCGGGAACTCAAGGGGAGGGACTGGGGCTCCAGAGCCGGCGCCAGTGCAGGTAAGGAGGGGGGACTCAAGGGGAGGGGCCAGGGCTGGGGCTGAGTTAGGTTCAGGGCTCTTGGGTTTTGGTTCTGCACCCCGAGGGGCCCAGGGCTGGGGAAAGTTGGAGAAGGGAGGTGAACCAGGACATGTTGGAGGCCTAGGATCAGGCAGGGAAGTAGTTGGAAAAAGTGGGGTAAAGGCTTGGGTAAAAAGGAGGCAAAGTTGGAAAGGGAAAGAGGAAGACCTGGAGAAGGAAAAATAGCTAGAGAAGGCTGGGAGTAGAGGAGAAGGAAGGATCAGAGAAGACGGAGTGGAAGGGAAGGCCCAGTGTGGGGAGGAAAGCTGGAAGAACATCTGGACCCAGGAACACTGGGATTGCCTCTGAGGTGTAAGGAGGAAGGTGACTGGCCTGGGCAGACAAGAACTGTGAGGCTGGCCAGGTGCAGTGGCTCATGCCTGTAATCCCGGCACTTTGGGAGGCCTAGGTGGGAGGATCACTTGAGGCCAGGAGTCTGAGACCTGCCTGAGCAACATACTGAGACCCCATCTCTACCAAAAAGAAAAAACATGTTAGGCTTGGTTGGCAAGTGCCTGTAGTCCCAGCTACTTGGGAAGCTGAGGTGGGAGGATCACTTGAGCCTGGGAGGCAGAGGCTGCAGTGAACTATGATGGCACCACTGCACTCCAGCCTGGGCAACAGAGTGAGACCCTGTCTCTTTAAAAAGCAAAACAAAATGAAAACAAAAATGGTGAAGCTGATGGGATTTTCTAGATTCCCAGGCCTGTTAACACCTTGTTCCTTATCTCCTGCAGATTAAGGTTGAGGAAGACTTTGGCTTTGAAGCAGATGAGGCCCTGGATTCCAGTTGGGTTTCTCGGGGTCCAGACAAACTGCTGCCCTACCCGACCCTGGCCAGCCCAGCCTCTGACTGACGCATGCCCAATAAACTGACCCCACACTCACCCCGGCCACCGTCTACTTGTTCCCACCTCTGATCACACACATGCTCACGTTCGGGGGTTGGTTTTCACATTTTTATTGGGAGCCGTGGGAGGGGCCGCCTCTGTCAGTGGAGGTGCTCACAGTTTCTTCAGCCACTCCAGGCTGGGGCCCTGAGGGTCCTGGGGGTGGCTGGGCACGTCGGGCATGTTCCCATCATCACGGACGGGCACTGTGGGGCAGGAGGTGGGCCACTGAGACCAGCACGTCTCCAGGGCCCTGGAGAGAAGAGCTGGTCTGTCGCTTTATGTTCAGAGAGGGAAGGGGGACCCCAGGGGTGAGAGGGGAAGGGTCAGAGAATCAGTGATGCAGAAAGAGGCGGGAAATACAGAGACTGAGAGACACGGAAAACCAGAGAGATAGCGAGGGAGAGATCCCGCGCACTAGAGAGCTAGGGTCAAAAGAGATGGGGAAACAGGACAGAAACCTGAGAAGATGGAGACCAAGAAACCACCACAGATGGGAACCCAGAGAGAGACAGAAATCTGGAAAGGTAATAGAAACTCGAAGCACAGGCCAGGCGCGGTGGCTCACACCTGTAATCCCAGCACTTTGGGAGGCCGAGGTGAGTGGATCACAAGGTCAGGAGATCGAGACAATCCTGGCTAACACGGTGAAACCCCGCCTCTACTAAAAAAATACGAAAAAGTTTGCGTGTCGTGGTGGCGGGCACCTGTAGTCCCAGCTACTCGGGAGGCTGAGCTTGCAGTGAGCTGAGATCGCGCCACTGCACTCCAGCCTTGGCGACAGAGCGAGACTCTGTCTCAAAAAAACCCAAAAAAACAAAAACGAAGCACAAACACAGAATAGTATACGAATTATATCTCAATTCTTAAAAAATGGAACGGGGGGTCCGGGCACCACTGCAGAATCTCTGATAACTGCTTAGGAAAGACCTGCCCATAACTGCCCTTACGCCAGCACAGGGAGGCTGGGCCTATTCCGGGGATCCCTGCCTGGCCCCCACTCACCTGGGTAGTTGTAGGGCGTGGCCTTGTTGATCATGACGGAGTACTTGAAGTAGGGGCTCAATGGGGGCAGAATTACAGCTGTGGAGAGACACAGGGGTGAGGCCCAGGGGAAGGTGGCTCTGAAGAGAGGGGAAGAGAAGGTGAGCCTTGGCAAAGGGAAGATAAAGTGCGCAGGGGGAGGGCAGCAGGGAGGGCCAGCACGTCCAGGAGGATCCTTGGTACCTTGGGATCCCTACTTATAGACAGGAGGGTTTAAAACTCTTTTTTGGGGGGTTAAGTGGAGGTAGGGGTTGGAGCCTAACACTCACAGATACGTGGGGCCTGGAGGAGGCAGCAGTGGGGTTGGTCATGGAATGAGCACGTTTGAGTGTAGGGTCATCATGGAGCATCCTGGGGGTAGTGTCATGGGACTGTTCTGGAGAAATCAAGACTGTTACAAATTTGGCCGGGCACAGTGGCTCAAGCCTGTAATCCCAGCACTTTGGGCGGCCAATGTGGGCGGATCACCTGAGGTCAGGAGTTCGCGACCAGCCTGGACAACATGATGAAACCCCATCTCTACTAAAGATACGAAAATTAGCCGGGCGTGGTGGCAGGAGCCTGTAATCCCAGCTACTCAGGAGGCTGAGGCAGAAGAATCCCTTGAGCCTGGGAGGCAGAGGTTGCAGTGAGCCCAGATTGTGCCATTGCACTCCAGCCTGGGCAACAGAGAGAGACTCCATCACCAAAAAAAAAAAAAAAAAAAAGCCTTACAAACTGGAGGAGAAAGGGTTGCACAAACAACAGTCACTGACCACAGTCCATTTAGGGTGGGAGCCAGGAGTCCTGGGGGATGGGGTACAGTTCATAAAAGGAATGTTCTAGGCCAGTGCTGTCTGACAGATGGTAAGAGCCAGGTATATAATTTTATATCTTCTAGTAGCTACAGTAAAAATAAGAGATACAGATGAAACAAATTTTAAGAAACATACTTGGATGGGCGAGGTGGCTCATGCCTATAATCCCAGGACTTTAGGAGGCTGAGACGGGTGGATCACCTGAGGTCAGGAGTTCGAGACCAGCCTGACCAATATGATGAAACCCCGTCTCTACTGAAAATACAAAAACAGCCAGGTGTAGTGGCATGCGCCTGTAATCCCAGCTACTAAGGAGGCTGAGACAGGAGAATCGCTTGAACCCGGGAGGCGGAGGTTGCAGTGAGCCGAGATCAGGCCATTGCACTCTAGCCTGGACAAAAGCGAAACTCCGTCTCAAAAAAACAAAAACAAACAAACAAAAAAAACCATAGTACATCCAAAACATCACTTCGCCATGTAATCAACAAAAGATTATTGGTAGTTTACACACTCTGTTATACTAAGTTTTTGAAATCCAGTGTCTTATACCACCTCAATTCATACCAGCACCACTTCAAATGCTCAGTGGCCAGTTGTGGCTGGTGGCTGCCATACTGAATAAGTGTTCAGAACCTTAACCTAGTGCCTGGCTGGTGGACCAGCAGTACTGACAAGACCTGGGAACTCTTCAAAAATGCAGAATCCCATGCCCCACCCCAGACCTACAGAATCAGAACCTACAGTTTGGCCGGGCGCAGTGGCTCACCCCTGTAATCCCAGCACTTTGGGAAGGCAGATCACTTGCGGTCAGGAGTTCAAGACCAGCCTGGCCAACATGGTGAAACCTTGTCTCTACTAAAAATACAAAAATTAGCCGGGCGTGGTGGTGCTCGCCTGTAATCCCAGCTACTTGGGAGGCGGAGGCAGGAGAATCACTTGAACCCTAGAGGCGGAGGTTGCAGTGAGCCATGATCAAACCATTGCACTGTAGCCTGGAAGACAGAGCGAGACGCCATCTCAAAAAAAAAAAAAAAAAAAAGCTGGCCGGGCGCGGTGGCTCACGCCTGTAATCCCAGCACTTTGGGAGACCGAGTTGGGAGGATCACGAGGTTAGGAGATCGAGACCATCCTGGCTAACACGGTGAAACCCCGTCTCTATTGAACATACAAAAAATTAGCCGGGCATGGGGGCGGGCGCCTGTAGTCCCAGCTACTCGGGAGGCTGAGGCAGGAGAATGGCGTGAACCCGGAAGGCGGGGCTTGCACTGAACCGAGATCGCGCCACTGCACTCCAGCCTGGGCGACAGAGCGAGACTCAGTCTCAAAAACAAAAACAAAAAATTAGCTGGGCGCCTGTAATCCCAGCTACTCGGGAGGCTGAGGCAGGAGAATCCCTTGAACCCAGGAGGCCGAGGTTGCAGTGAGCCGGGATCGCGCCACTGCACTTCAGCCTGGGTGAGAGTGAGACTCCATCGCAAAAAAAAAAGCTACATTTTAACAATCCCCCGCCCCCATCCCTGCAGGAACTCCGGTGCTAATTAAAGTGTGAGTAGGGCAGTTCCAGGGCAGAGGGCAGAGATTTTCAATCAGCAAGGCACATTGGGATCATACGGGGATTTTCACAAGACACAGATTCCCCAGTCCCACCTCCACCCAAGCCAACTCAATTCAGAATGGGGGAGAGGAAAGATGAAAAGGAGGAGGAGGATCTGGACTTTTTTTTGGTGCTCAGGTGTTAAGGCATAAGCAGGGTTGAGAACGTCTCATTTAGAGGGGTTAAGAGCGTATTGGGTAGGTGGAGAGGAACGCGGGGGGCGATGGTGGAGAGGTTATAATGGGTATGGGGATAGATAAGGGGATGCCGTGGGGGTGCAGACACACTAGAGGGGACCCGAGGGCGGCGATAGGGCTTTAGGGGTACAAGATGGAGGGATGTAGGGGGACGGGGGTGGACGATGCAAGTTTGCGCCTGGAGCACTCACGCACCGAGGCCCCCGACGACGAAGGACACGACCAGCACTGGCTCCTTGTCCCAGGCATTCTTGAGGAAGGCGCCGACTCCTGAAGGGGTGGCAAGAAGCGTCACCCCTGCAAGTAGCTGCCCCCGGTGACCTCTAACCCTCTCGTGCCACCCCTGCCCTGGAGGAGCCCCCTCGTGACTTCTGCGTTCCCCTCCAGCACGGACCCCATCGCTTCCACCCCTGCCCTGCCGCACCTCAGTCCCAGGACCGCCCAGAGGTTCCCAGAACTACCCGAGCCCCGTGCGCCACCGGAACCTGCACTTACTCGCAGCCATCTTTGTCTCCGCGGCGGCGACAGCGGCGAGGACGCGGAGCACCCTGGGAGTTGTGGTCCCTATGCGCGAGAACCCGCTCCCAGGGCTGCGCGTGCGCCCTGGAGCACAAGTAGAGGCGAAAGCAAGGACGCGGAGCACTCTGGGAGTTGTGGTCCCTCTGTGCGACGGCCCGCTTTCGGAGCCTGCGCGTGCGCACTCGCGCAGAACAAAGATGGAGCCGTGGAGGTAAAGGAAGTGGTGTCAGGAGCAAGCGCAAGCCTGACTTTGCGGACCTGCGTGGAATCTCCTTAGTCTCAGCCTAGAAGTCGCTCCGGAGTGACTAGTCCTCCTGCTGCGACCCACCTAAGGCGGAACAAAATAGTCCCCATTTTATAGTTTATGTATGAAAGCCCATTTTACAGACGAAGAAACTGAGCCCGGGAGAAGGTGAATGACTAACCTGTCCTTCGAGGTCTCAGCTCAACATCGGCTCGTCCTGGAAGCGCTAGGTCTCATCCCAGATGGGTTAGGAGCTTTCTGCGGGCTCTCACAGTGCTCTGTTACCGCCATTATAGCTCAGATCACTTAAGAAACTGACCTGGTCTGGGCCGGGCGCGGTGGCTCACGCCTGTAATCCCAGCACTTTGGGAGGCCGAGGCGGGCGGATCACGAGGTCAGGAGATCTAGACCATCCTGGCTAACATGGTGAAACCCTGTCTCTACTTAAAAATACAACACAAATTAGCCGGGCGTGGTGGTGGGCGCCCGTAGTCCCAGCTACTGGGGAGGCTAAGGCAGGAGAATGGCGTGAACCCGGGAGGCGGAGCTTGCAGTGAGCCGAGATCACACCACTGCACTCCAGCCTGGGCGACAGAGCGAGACTCCGTCTCAAAAAAAAAGGAAACTGACCTGGTCTTGGTCTTTCAGTCGGACTGGTAGCTGCTGCTTGAGAGCAGTAACGGAGTCTGAGTTCCCTCTGTGCCTGCCAACATGGCACAGCGAGGGTCTGGCACGTAATAGGTTCTAATTTTTTTTTTTTTCTTCTGAGATTGAGTCTAGCTCTGTCGCCCAGGCTGGAGTGCAATGGCGCGATCTCGGCTCACAGCAACCTCCGACTCCCGAGTTCAAGCGATTCTCCTGCCTCAGCCTCCTGAATAGCTGGGATTACAGGCGCGCGCCTCCACAGCCGGCTAATTTTTCTTTTTTAGGAGAGACGGGGGTTTCTCCATGTTGGTCAGGCTGGTCTCGAACTTCCCGATCTCAGGTGATCCACCCGCCTTGGCCTCCCAAAGTGCTGGGATTACAGGCGTGAACAACCGCGCCCGGCCTAGAGGGGCTAATTTTTATCTATCTATCTATCTATCTATCTATCTATCTATCTATCTAACACAGTATCACACCAAGAGCCTGGCACATAATAGGTGCTAATTTTTCTCTGTCAACCAATCTATCAATCGATCAATTAATCACAGCAAGGGCCTGGCACATAATTGGTGTTAATTTTTATCTATCCATCAATCAATCACAGCAAGGGCCTGGCACTTAACAGGTGCTAATTTTTATCTATCTATCTATCTATCTATCTATCTATCCATCCATCCATCTATCTATCTTTCAATCACAGCAAGGGCCTGGCACATAATAGGTGCAAATTTTTATCTATCTGTCAATCAATGACAGCAAGAGTCTGGCACATAATAGGTTCTTATTTTTAAAACAGACAGATATCTTTCTATCTGTCTATCTATATTTAAAGACATGGTCTCACTCTATCACCCAGGCTGGAGTGCAGTGGCACAATTTATTTATTTTTTAGACAGGGTCTCGCTCTGTTGCCCAGGCTGCTCTTGAACTCTTGGGCTCAAGCGATCCTCCTGCCTCCACCTCCTGACTAGTATTTGTTTCTAGAGTTAAATAAATGAACACCACAGGTTATGACTGAACCCCCTGCTAATTTTTCCACAGTGCCATAGGGCTATGACACAGTCACCCACAGGCCCCCACCTCGATACTCTCTTCCGTAAATGAGGATCTGGGTCTGGTTTTCTGATGTTGCCTCATTTCCTGGGAGGGGAGAGGGTGCGACCAAGCCCTGGCTCCAGCTCTAGCGGGTATCTGCCCACCATGGCCCTGGTGCTGATCCTCCAGCTGCTGACCCTCTGTGAGTCACCCCTTTCTTCTCCCTGGGTTCCTGGCTGGGGTTGGGGGCAGAGAGAGAGGCAATGGAGACCCAGACACCCTGCAGGGGGACCAGGCAGCAGGTTTGGGATTCTAGGTTCAAATAAAGAACAGGGCTGGGGCCCAGACCCCTGGGTCCTAAAGCAAGAGAACACAGATTCCCGAAAGAGGAAGGAGGTGGGGACAGGTATCTCTGGTTCTTGAGGCAGGAAGAGGTCAGGAGACAGGGAGGACTCCCAGATTCTTATATGGGAGGGGGATGGAAGCCAGGACTCCTGATTCCCTGGGAAAAGGGGGCTGGGAACAGGGCTCTTAGCTCCTGAGAGAAGAGGGAAATGGGGACCCAGATTCCTGAACTCGTGAGAGGAGAAACTCTACGATCATTGTTCCCTGGAAAGGTGGAGTTCAAGGGCCTGAACTCTTGGTTGCCCAGGCCAGAGGGGTCTGCGTTCAGACTTCTTCGGTAGGTGGGCAATGGATGTCCAAATTTCTGCCTACTGAGACAGGAGGAGGGAGGGATAAGATTCTCATTTCCCAGAGGAGATAGGAGCTGGGAACTCAGATTCCTGGGTTACCAATGAGATGGGGCTGGCCACAAAGGGTTTTGAAAAGAACTCGCTGTTGGGCGCAGCGGCTCATGCCTGTGGGAGCCGAGGCCCAGCACTTTGGGAGGCCGAGGCGGGTGGATCACCTGAGGACAGGAGTTCAAGACCAGCCTGACCAACATGGCGAAACCCCTCTCTACTAAAAATACAAAGATTAGCCTGGTGTGGTGGCGGGCACTTGTAGTCCCAGCTACTACGGAGGCTGAGGCAGGAGAATCACTTGAACCTGGGAGGCAGAGGTTGCAGTGAGCTGAGATCACACCACTACACTCCAGCCTGGGCGACAGAGTGAGAGTCTGCCTCAGACAAAAAAAAAAAAAGGAAAAAGAAACTAGTCCCTCAACCTCCTACAGGGCCTCTGTGTCACACAGACATCACTCCGTCTGGTGAGTAGCCACCCCATCCACTCTCCTTTTGTTGCTGACACCCCTTTTCCAATTACTCAGATTTTATTTTGGTGCCCAATCCCATCCCAGATATCCTTATTTTCCTCCCTCCCTCCATTCCTTCCTTCTTTTCTCATTCCCCTTAGTGGCCATTATAGGTGAGTACTGAAGACCAGGAACTTCTGAGGCAGAGGCCTAAGCTAGGACCTCAGTTTCACCATCGTATTCATTTATATGTGACCATATGACCTAGAACAAGTCACAGCTTGCTAAGACTCCATTTCCTTCTCTGTAAAATGGGCCGCTGTGAGATCTCATCAAATCACATGTGCAAAACCCTGAGCCTGGCACAGTACAGGGCTTAAGAAATAGGATCTTGGGCTGGGCGCAATGGCCAACGTCTGTAATCCCAGCACTTTGGGAGGCAGAGGCGGGCGGATCACAAGGTCAGATCGAGATCATCCTGGCTAATGTGGTGAAACCCCGTCTCTACTAAAAAAAAAAAAAAAAAAAAAAAAAAATTAGCCGGGTGTGGTGGGACGCACCTGTAATCCCAGCTACTCAGGAGGCTGAGGCAAGAGAATCGCTTGAACCCAGGAGGCAGAGGTTGCAGTAAGCTGAGATCGCGCCACTGCACTCCAGCCTGGGTGACAGTGCAAGACTCCACTTCAAAAACAAACAAACAAACAAACAAACAAAAACTCTTTTGGAGATATTTCAGTGTCGCTATAGCTATCTCTACCTATTTATTTTATTTATTTATTTATTTATTTTGAGACCAGTTTCTCTCTGTCGCCCAGGCCGGAGTGCAGTGGTGCAATCTCGGCTCACTGCAACCACCTCCTGGGTTCAAGGGATTCTCCTGCCTCAGCCTCCTGAGTAGCTGGGACTACAGGCACACACCACAATGCCCGGATAATTTTTGTATTTTTAGTAGAGACAGGGTTTCCCCATGTTGGTCAGGCTGGTCTGGAACTCCTGACCTCAGGTGATCCCTCTGCCTCAGCCTCCCAAAGTGTTGGGATTACAAACATGAGCCCCCTCACCCGACCCTTATTTTTATTCATTTTTAGAGATGGGGTCTCATTGTGTCACCCGGGCTGGAGTACGGTGGCTCTATCATAGCTCACTGCAGCTTTGAATTCCTGGGCTCAGACAATCCTCCAGCCTCAGCCTCCCAAAGTGCATGCCACCATGGAGTTCTCACTCTGTTGCCCAGGCTGGAGTGCAGTGGCATGATCTCAGCTAACTGCAGCCTCCGACTCTAGGGTTCAAGTAATTCTCCTACTCAGCATCCCAAACAGCTGGAACTACAAGCTAGCACTACCACGCCTGGCTAATTTTTCTGTTTTTAGTAGAGATGGGATTTTACCATGTTGGTCAGGCTGGTCTTGAACTCCTGACCTCAGGTGATGCACCCACCTTGGCCTCCCAAAGTGCTGGGATTACAGCTGTGAGCCACCGGACCCAACAGCCTTCCTGTACTCTTAATTTGTGTGATTTGTGAATAAGTGATATCTGCCAGTACTATCATTTGTCCTCCAGTTTTGTCTTTTAGCATACACAACTTAAGAAATTTGAAGTGGTCAAATTAATTAATCTTCCATACAACTTTTTATTTTATATTTTAAGAAGCCTTCCTTACCCCAAGACAAATATATTTTCCTATAGTTTTTTGAATACTTTTATAGTTTAAAAAAAAAGAAACACAGGGTCTTTAATTAATCTGGAAGTTGTTTTGGGAAATGGTATGAGGTAGGGATCCAACATTTTTCTTTTCCAAATAGCAAGTTTTGGCAACTCTTGAAATACTATATTGCAAATATTCTGGAAAGCTATTTAAAATTAGAGTTCTGGCTGGGCGTGGTGGCTCACACCTGTAATCCCAGCACTTTGGGAGGCCGAGGTGGGAGGATTGCTCGAGCCCAAGAGTTCAAGAGTAGCCTGGGCAATATAGCGAATGCTCGTCTCTACTAAAAATTAAAAAAAAAAAATTAGCCTGGTGTAGTGGCATGTGCCTGTGGTCCCAGGTACTCAGGAGGCTGAGGTGGAGGACTGTTTGAGCCCAAGAGATTGAGGCTGCAGTGAGTTGAGAACATGCCACTGCACTCCTGCCTGAGCAACACAGCAAGACCCTGCCTCAAAAAAAAAAAAAAAAAAAAAAAAAGTCTGGGTGTGGTGGCACAAGCTTGTAAACTTAGCACTTTGGGAGGCCGAGGTGGGAGGATTGCTTGAGGCCAGTAGTTTAAGACCAACCTGCTCAACATAGGGAGACCGCCCCCTCCCATCTCATTACTTAAAAATAATAATAATAATAAAATTACAGAGTTCTGGGACCTGACCTTTTGAAACTGTGTTTACAAACTGTGGAGTAAAGCTCAGAAGTTTCTGTCCTGCCCCTCTGATTTGCACCTGGTTTTAACAAGGCTTGATTGTAGTCCAGTCTCTCCCTGATTTTACAAACAGGAAACTGAGGCTAAGAAAGGGGCAGTAATTGTCCAAGGTGATTTTCCTCCTTCCCCAACTTCCCTTTCATCTTCTGGGGCTCCCAGGAGGCCCGAGGACCCAGGCAGCCCCGTTTATTCAGTCCCCCCAGCTTCATACCACCCTAAGCCATGGCTGGGAGCTCAGCCGGCTACAGTTGTGACCCCTGGGGTCAACGTGACCTTGAGATGCCGGGCACCCCAACCCGCTTGGAGATTTGGACTTTTCAAGCCTGGAGAGATCGCTCCCCTTCTCTTCCGGGATGTGTCCTCCGAGCTGGCAGAATTCTTTCTGGAGGAGGTGACTCCAGCCCAAGGGGGAATTTACCGCTGCTGCTACCGAAGGCCAGACTGGGGGCCGGGTGTCTGGTCCCAGCCCAGCGATGTCCTGGAGCTGCTGGTGACAGGTGAGGTCCTGGGGTCGGGGAGGAGAAGTGGGTGGAACAAGGGAGTTGGGGGAGGGACAGAGAGATATAGGGAAAGAGAGACAGAGCGAGGCGGGCAAACAGATTCACAGACACAAGAAAAGACAGATACAGAGACACTAGGGGGAGAGAGAGAGACAGGGGAGCAGAGAGAGAGAGACAGGGGAGCAGAGAGAGAGAGAGGTACAGTGCGGGGGGAGAGAGAGAGAAAGAGGCAGAAGGAGAAAGGGAGGCAGAGAGAGAGGGAGGCAGAGAGAGAGGGAGGCAGAAAGAGAGGGAGGCAGAGAGAGAGGCAGGCAGAGAGAGAGGCAGGCAGAGAGAGAGGGAGGCAGAGAGAGAGGGAGGCAGAGAGAGAGGGAGGCAGAGAGAGAGGGAGGCAGAGAGAGAGGGAGGCAGAGAGAGGGAGGCAGAGAGAGAGGCAGGCAAAGAGAGAGGCAGGCAGAGAGAGAGGGAGGCAGAGAGAGAGGGAGGCAGAGAGAGAGGGAGGCAGAGAGAGAGGGAGGCAGAGAGAGAGGGAGGCAGAGAGAGGGAGGCAGAGAGAGAGGGAGGCAGAGAGAGAGGCAGACAGAGAGAGAGACAGGCAGAGAGAAAGAGAGGCAGAAAGAGAGAGAGAGGCACAGAGAAAGCGAGAGACAGAGGAGAAGGAGAAACAGAGCGAGCGAGCGAGCGGAAGACGCTCACGCGGCCCCGGACTCTCACCCCGTCTCTGCAGAGGAGCTGCCGCGGCCGTCGCTGGTGGCGCTGCCCGGGCCGGTGGTGGGTCCTGGCGCCAACGTGAGCCTGCGCTGCGCGGGCCGCCTGCGGAACATGAGCTTCGTGCTGTACCGCGAGGGCGTGGCGGCCCCGCTGCAGTACCGCCACTCCGCGCAGCCCTGGGCCGACTTCACGCTGCTGGGCGCCCGCGCCCCCGGCACCTACAGCTGCTACTATCACACGCCCTCCGCGCCCTACGTGCTGTCGCAGCGCAGCGAGGTGCTGGTCATCAGCTGGGAAGGTGAGGGCCCTGAGGCCCGGCCCGCCTCCTCCGCCCCAGGAATGCAGGCCCCAGGACCTCCGCCCTCAGACCCAGGAGCCCAGGCCCCCAGCCTCTCCTCCTTCAGACCCAGGGGTCTAGTCCTGCAGCCCCTCCTCCCTCAGACCCAGGATTCCTGGGACCCAGCCCCTCCTCCCTCAGATCCAGGAGTCTAGTCCTCCAGCTCCTCCTCCCTCAGACCCAGGATTCCCGGGCCCCAGTACCTCCTCCCTCAGACCCAGGACTCCAGGCCCCCAGCCCCTCCTTCCTGGACCCAGGACTCCAGGCCCCCAGCCCCTCCTTCCTGATCCAGCAGTCCAGGCCCCAGCCCCTTCTTCCTGGACCCAGGAGTTGAAGCCTCCATCGACTCCCCCTCAACTTTGAGACTGTAGAGTCAGGTCCCTAAGTCCACCCCAGGGGCTGGAAACCTGGAGTTCAGGGCCCAGACTTTGGGGTCCGGGAGCTGATGGCCCCTCTCTCCCGGCTCCGCCCGCAGACTCTGGCTCCTCCGACTACACCCGGGGGAACCTAGTCCGCCTGGGGCTGGCCGGGCTGGTCCTCATCTCCCTGGGCGCGCTGGTCACTTTTGACTGGCGCAGTCAGAACCGCGCTCCTGCTGGTATCCGCCCCTGAGCCCCAGGAGCACTGCAGCCCGAGACTTCCAACCTGAGTGGCGGAGAAGCTGGGACCCTGGGCTGGACTGTCCTTTCCTGCAGCCCCACAGTCCTGCTGGCTGAGCTCCGCGGAACGGTCCTTAGACCCCGCTGTGCCCTGTGCTGTAGCTTCTTTCCAGGCCTTTCCCAAGGAGTAGCTGAAAGGAAGACGCGATTAGTGGTTAAGACTTCCAAGCCAGAAGACAGAGGGTTCGAATCCCAGCACTGCCGTCTACTCACTGTAGTAGTAGCAGCTACAGAAAGGTAGTAGTGAGACGTGAAGCCAGCTGGACTTCCTGGGTTGAATGGGGACCTGGAGAACTTTTCTGTCTTACAAGAGGATTGTAAAATGGACCAATCAGCACTCTGTAAGATGGACCAATCAGCGCTCTGTAAAATGGACCAATCAGCAGGACATGGGCGGGGACAATAAGGGAATAAAAGCTGGCGAGCGCGGCACCCCACCAGAGTCTGCTTCCACGCTGTGGGAGCTTTGTTCTCTTGCTCTACACAATAAATCTTGCTGCTGCTAACTCTTTAGGTCCGTGCCATCTTTAAGCGCTGTAACACTCACCACGAAGGTCCCTGGCTCCATTCTTAAAGTCAGCGAGACCACAAACCCACAGGAAGGAACCAACTCTGGACACGGTAGCAGCATTCAGAAAGCGCCCTTCCCCAACTCTCTCTTGCCTTGACGGTAAAATGGATGCACTGATAAAACCCACTTCATAGGATTGTTGTAGGATTCAGTGGGTAATACACATAAAACATTTAAAGCAGTAACTGGCCCGTAGTAAGTGTTCAATAAATGTTAGCTACCCTGTAACACCGATTTCTACCAGACTCAGTGCCGAAAGGAAGGTCTCACCTTTTTGCCATCAAGCATAATCAAGCACGACTTTTTCTTTCTTTCTTTCTTTTTTTTTTTTGAGAGAAGATCTCACTCCACCCAGGCTGGAGTGCAGTGGCGTGATCTCGGTTCACTGCAACATCCGCCTCCCGGGTTCAAGTGATTCTCGTGCCTCAGTCTCCTGAGTAGCTGGGATTACAGGTGTGCGCTATCACGCCCAGCTAATTTTTGTATTTTTAGTAGAGATGGAGTTTTGCCAAATTGGCCAGGTGGTCTCGAACTCCTGACCTCAAGTGATCCACCTGCCTCGGCCTCCCGAATAGCTGGGATTACAGGTGCGTACCACCATGTCCGGCTAATGTTTGTATTTTTAGTAGAGACGGGGTTTCACCATGTTGACCAGACTGGTCTTGAACTCCTGACCTCAAGTGATCCGCCCGCCTCAAGAACTGAATTTTGAAGTCTAATTAGCCACCTGGGGGCGCTAACGTGTTGAAAAGACGGGAGGAGAGACTGAGCGGGTCTTCCGGGGTTTGATCTCAGTGCCAGAGGGGCCTTGGTAGAACATATGTGGGACAACCTCCCCGGCATATGTGGCTGTGGGAAATAATAACAATTTTAAAAAAGGAATAAGCCGGGGGTGCTGGCTCACACCTGTGATCCTAGCACTTTGGGAGGCCGAGGCAGGTGGATCACGAAGTCAGAAGTTCGAGACCAGCCTGGACAACATGGTGAAACCCCGTCTCTACTAAAAATACAAAAATTAGCCGGGCGTGGTGGCGGGCGCCTGTAATCCCAGCTACTCGGGAGGCTGAGGCAGGAGAATTGCTTGAACCCAGGAGGCGGAGGTTGTAGTGAGCCGAGATTGCATCACTGCACACTCCAGCCTGGGTGACAGAGCAAAACTCCGTCTCAAAAAAAAAAAAAAAAAAAAAAAGAATAAAGAAGAGACGCAGGTTATAAGGAAGGCACCAGACCTGGATGAGGCTGTGATGTCATCAAATCCAGTCTTCCCACTTTATAAATGGGAAAATGGTGGAAAGAGAGGTGATATTAAGTTTACCTAAACATGTACAGGAAGTCAGTGGCACATCAGGGAGTCTTTTTTTTTCCTTTTTCCCTCTTTTTTTATTTTATTTTATTTTATTTTATTTTTTTTGAGGTGGACTTTCGCTCTTGTTGCCCAGGCTGGAGTGCAATGGCGCCATCTCGGCTCACCACAACCTCCGCCTCCCAGGTTCAAGTGATTCTCCTGCCTCAGCCTCCCGAGTAGCTGGGATTACAGGTGTGAGCCACCACACCTGGCTAATTTTGTATTTTGAGTAGAAACAGGGTTTCTCTGTGTTGGTCAGGCTGGCCTCGAACTCCCAAACTCAGGTGATCCGCCCGCCTCAGCCTCCCAAAGTGCTGGGATTACAGGCATGAGCCACCGTGCCCGGCCCTCTTTTTTTAAAAATGTATTTCCACCCAAAGCAGAGAAAAAGAAGTCTTGGCCGAGTTTGTACTTCAACTTAACTCCATGTATTCATCCATTCAATCACTCCTTCATTCACCATTCACTCATTCATGTCTAGCATTGATTCTCATCCTTATTCATTTCTATTGAGCATCTCTTTTTCCTTTGCTTTCATTTGTACATTTGTCTATTTCATTTGTCCTTATCCATCATGCATTCATTCATATTTCCATCCATTTACCCATCCATTTCTTCATTAACCAGTTTTTAATCCACTGAACTATTTATTCATTCAATATCCATCTATCTACCTGTGCATTTATCTATCCAATAAGCTTGAGATTTTTTTTCTTTTTGAGATGGAGTCTTGCTCTGTTTCCCAGGTTGGAGTGCAGTGTTGTGATCTCAGCTCACTACAATCTCCACCTCCCGGGTTCAAACGATTCTCCTGCCTCAGCCTCCCAAGTAGCTGGGATTACAGGCACCTGCCACCATGCCCGGCTAATTTTGTGTTTTTAGTAGAGATGGGGTTTCACCATGTTGGCCAGGCTGTTCTCGAACGCTTGACCTAAAGTGATCCATCTGCCCACCTTGGTCTCCCTTTAAAGTGCTGGGATTACAAGCGTGAGCCACCGCACCCAGCTGAGATTTCTTCATAGCAGTTTACCAGTGACCAGTGTTCAATGAATGCTTATTGAGTGAGTTGTAGTCACAATGCTTATTTCATTTTCTACCACTGAACATCTTTTCATACTGGTCATTTTGCTGGGTGATCCACATAGG
This sequence comes from Homo sapiens, assembly GCF_000001405.40. Classification (NCBI taxonomy): domain Eukaryota; kingdom Metazoa; phylum Chordata; class Mammalia; order Primates; family Hominidae; genus Homo; species Homo sapiens. The sequence goes on along the minus strand of NW_003571059.2, from coordinate 66,489 downwards.
TTATTTCTGATCAACAGCCCCCAAGACACACAGAAGTGCCTAACTTGGGACTTGTCTGTGTGGTTAGACTGCTGGGTCTTTTCCCCCTGTTCCTGCCTCTTAAAGCAATGACAACACTGCCATCACCACGCCTGGCCAATTTATTATTACTATTATTATTATTTTTTTTTTGAGATGGAGTCTCGCTCTGTTGCCAGGCTGTAGTGCAATGACGCGATCTCGGCTCACTGCAACCTCCGCCTCTTGGGTTCAAGTGATTCTCCTGCCTCGCCCTCCCGAGTCGCTGGGATTACAGGCGTGTGCCACCACCATGCCCAGCTAACTTTTGTATTTTTAGTAGAGATGGGGTTTCACCATGTTGGCCAGGATGGTCTCGATCTATTGACCTCGTGATCCACCCCCCTCGGCCTCCCAAAGTGCTGGAATTACAGGCGTGAGCCACCGCGCCCGGCTAATTGTTTACTTTTTATAGCTATGGGATCTCACCATGTTGTCCAGGCTGGTCTTGAATGCCTGGCCTCAAGCCATCCTCCTTCCTTGGCCTCCCAAAGTGCTGGGATTCCAGGAGTGAGTCACTGTGCCAGGCCTAGGGCTTCCACTGATTTCCCCTAGTCTCATTCATCCTCGTATCACTCATGTATTCAATGTCTACCGTGCATGGCATTGTGCTAGAGTCCGGCGGTCCAGTGGGGAGCAATAGCAGACATAAACCCTGCACTCATGGAACTCACAAAGTATTAACCAAATCACTGCATAGTGTATTGGTTACAGAGCACTTTAAGCTGTTGTAAAAAAGAATCTCCCGGCCAGGTGCAGTGGCGCACACCTGTAATCCTAGCACTTTGGGAGGCCAAGGCAGGTGGATCACCTGAGGTCAGGAGTTCGAGAGCAGCCTGATTAACATGGTGAAACCCTGTCTCTACTAAATACAAAAAATTAGCCTGGTGTGGTGGTGCATGCCTGTAATCCCAGCTACTCGGGAGGCTGAGGCAGGAGAATCACTTGAACCCGGGAGGCGGAGGTTTCACTGAGCCGAGGTCGTGCCATTGCACTCCAGCCTGGGCAACAAGAGCCAAGCTCCATCTCATAAAAAAGAGAGAGAGAGAGAAAAAAAGAATCTCCTTCACCACCGGAAAAAAACTAGATATAAATGTACCTCTCTCTCACTTAACAGTAAATCACTGGGCAATCTCAACGATTTACTTGTTAAGGTGGGATGGTTTTGCTTTTATCAACATGTAGCTTTAATTTCTGGTTCTGAGCCCCAAGAAAGAGGAGAGGACAGAGAGAAAAGGGCTCACACAATTATTATTTTTTTTTTTTTCCGAGTTGGAGTCTTGCTCTGTCGCCCAGGCTGGAGTGCAGTGGCGCGATCTCGGCTCACTGCAAGCTCCGCCTCCCGGGTTCACGCCATTCTCCTGCCTCAGCCTCCCAAGTAGCTGGGACTACAGGCGTCCACCACCACACCCGGCTAAATTTTTTTGTATTTTTAGTAGAGACGGGGTTTCACCGTGTTATCCAGGATGGTCTCGATTTCCTGACCTCGTGATCCGCCTGCCTCAGCCTCCCAAAGTACTGGGATTACAGGCGTGAGCCACTGCGCCCGGCCCACACAATTATTTTTTAAGAGCAGGACCTAGAATTTGAGCATGTATCTTCCTATCGCATCCCATTGGCTAGAACTTAGTCTCATGGACAGGTCTAGCCGCAAAAGTGACTGATGGAAATATGGTCTCTAGCCTGTGCCCTTCTAAAAATGAGGGTGGGAGGGGGTGGGATAGGTGCAGTGGCTCACTCATAATCCCAGCATTTTGGGAAACTGAGGCAGGAGGATGGCTTGAGGCCAAGAGTTTGAGACTCCCTTCTCTATTCAAAAAAAAAAAAAAAAATACAGTAGGCCAGGTGCGGTGGTTCACGCCTGTAATCCCAGCACTTTGGGAGGCCAAGGCAGGCAGATCACCTGAGGTCAGGAGTTGGAGACCACCCTGGCCAATATAGTGAAACCCCGACTCTACTAAAAATACAAAGCTGTAATCCCAGCTACTCGGGAGGCTGAGGCAGGAGAATCACTTGAACCCTGGAGGCAGAGGTTGCAGTGAGCTGATACACGCCATTGCACTCCAGCCTGGGCCACAGAGCGAGACTCCGTCTCAAAAAAAAAAAAAAAAAAAAAAAACAACGAATAAAACAAAAAAACAAAAAACAAACAAAAAAAAGTTTAATGATTTTTCTTCTCTCTAGGAGAAAATATGGAAGTAAAACAGGACCCATCTGAAGATCGTGTGTCCTCTGCTGATTTTAAATAGCCATGGAAAGTTAATGCCACCGCAAGGGGCAGCCCCGCCCTGGCACTCTGGAAACCTGGTACTTATCCACGCAATCAGAGGCTTGAACCACAGCTAAGCTGAGTCTCGGCGGGACCTCTTCTGATCCTCCGGGCACACAAGAGGATTGGGGGCTGGGGAGGAGCTGCTTCAAGGCCACCTCCGTTTTACCTCCCGTGATACCGTGATATAGTAAGAAATATGTACTTGGTCTTCAGCTTTGGTTCCAAAGACACCCTTCTCACCCCATCACTCTGGAATTTCCAAAAACCCTTGGTGAGAAGGGTGTCTTTTGTTATTTATAAGGAGCCTCTTTTCTCTCTTTCTCTCTTTCTTGCTTCCTTCCTTCCTTGCCTCCCTCCCTCCCTCCTTCCTTTTCTCTTTTCTTTTTTCTTCTTTCTTTATTTTTCTTTCTTTCTTTCTTTCTTTCTTTCTCTCTTTTCTTCTTTCTTTCTCTCTTCCCTTTCTCTCCCTTTCCTTTCCTTTCTCTCCCTTCCCCTCCCCTCCCCTCTCCTCTCCTCTCTTTTCCTTTCTTTTCCTTCCTTTCCTTCTTTCCTCTAATCCCAGCACTTTGGGAGGCCAAGGCGGGCGGATCTCTTGAGGTCAGGAGTTTCAGACCAGCCTGGCCAACATGGTGAAACCTCGTCTCTACTAAAAATACAAAAATTAATCGGGCATGGTGGCAGGCACCTGTAATTCCAGCTACTCTGGAGGCTGAGGCAGGAGAATCCCTTGAACTAGGATGCAGAGGTTGCGGTGAACCGAGATCTCACCACTGCACTCCAGCCCGGGCTACAGAGCGAGACTCCGTCTCAAGGAAATATAAAAGAAAATAAAATAAATGTCTCCCAAAGAGACAAGTCAGATTAGCCTAAACCCAGGAATAACTACAAGCAGTTTGAGGGCCAAAGGCAAGGTAGGGGCTGGCCAGATCCGATCTCCTTCACTGCCATCGTTTGCTCACTCTCGTAATTTTTGCAAAGGAGGTTTCAATTGCATGGTTGTCAGCGAACATCCTATTCATCCATTTCTTGCTTTCTACCAGTAAAATTGAACTTTATAGGCCTGCTTTGTGCTTTTAAGGCTAACTAGCAAAATTCCAGAGTTTAGCCTTAAAAAATATTTATAATTGGCCGGGCACAGTGGCTTACACCTGTAATCCCAGCACTTTGGGAGGCTGAGGCGGGTGGATCACAAGGTCCGGAGATCGAGACCATCTTGGCTAACATGGTGAAACTCCGTCTCTACTAAACACACACACACACACACACAAAAGTAGCCGGGTGTAGTGGCACACGCCTGTAGTCCCAGCACTTTGGAAGGCTGAGGTGGGCGGATCATGAGGTCAGGAGATCGAGACCATCCTGGCTAACATGGTGAAACCCCGTCTCTACTAAAAATACAAAAAAAAAAAAAAGTAGCCGGGCGTAGTGGCACATGCCTGTAGTCCCAGCTACTTGGGAGGCTGAGGCAGGAGAATCACTTGAACCCGGGAGGCAGAGGTTGCAGTGAGCTGAGATTGTGCCATTGCACTCCATCCTGGGTGACAGAGTGAGACTCCATCTAAAAAAAAAAATTCTTTATAATTGATCAAAAGAAGTTTAAGAAATGGATTAAGAAGATCTCTTCTTTGCAGCTGTAGGGGAGGAGAGGGAGCTAGAGAGAGAGAGGGCATTGAGAGAGGAGAAAAAGATATTCTGTGCCATAAAACTAATTCAAGAATGTAGTTTAGGCGAGGCATGGTGGTTCACACCTGTAATCCCAGAACTTTGGGAGGTCGAGGCAGGCGGATCACTTGGGCCCAGAAGTTCGAGACCAGCCCTGGCCAACATGGCAAAACACTGTCTCTACTAAAAGTACAAAAATTAGCCCGGCGTGGTGGCACAACCCTGTAATTCCTTGTACTTGGGAGGGCTGGGGCAAGAGAATCACTTGAACCCGAGAGGCAGAGGTTGCAGTGAGTCGAGATCACACCACTGCACTCCAACCTGGGTGACACAGTGAGACCCTGTCTTAAAAAAAAAAAAACAAAAAAAAAAAAAACAGAGTGGGGTGGGGGGCTGGGGGAGGGATAGCATTAGGAGAAATACCTAATGTAAATGATAACTTGATGGGTGGAGCAAACCAACATGGCACATGTATCAAACCTGTACATTATGCACATGTACCCTAGAACTTAAAGTAAAAAAACAAAACAAAACAAACAAACAAAAAAATGGAATGTGGATTGATAAGTTAATAAACTGAGAATATTAAAAAGGCTCTAAATGTGTTTTATAGTCTTATGTAGTATGGAGATCTATGGATATTTATTACAGCAGCCAGTGTTCCATTCTGTGGTTCCATAAATCTGTGCTTTGAAGTGTAATTTGCACAAAATAATCTTGTAGGAGTCCAAAGACATTAGAAATTATTGCCAGTATTGCAATCATTATTTTGAAGGAGAAACCTTGGTGCCATTTGGTGGTCTTACTTAATATTTTGTTGCCCTGGTAACAATCTTATGATTGACATCTGAATTTCCAAGCAGAATAAATGCTTGTAAAAACAATTCTGTTAAATCAGAAGCTATGCATTGGTGTCTGTGTCTTAGTCTGTATTCTGTTGCTTAGAACAGAACACTTGAAGCCAGATAACTTATAAAGAAAAGGAATTTATTTCCTGTAGTTAATGGAGGTTGGAAAGTCCAAGGTGGAGGGGCTGCATCTGGTGAGGACCTTCTTGCTGTTGGGGACTCTCTGGAGGGTTCCGAGGTGGCACAGGGCATCACAGGGCAAAAGAGCTGAGCGTGCTACTTAAGTCTCTCTTCCTCTTCTGATAAAGCCACCAGTCTCACTCCCAGGGTAACCCATTAATCCATTAACTCACTAATCCATTAATCCATGAATGGATTAGTTCATTCATGAGAAAAGAGTCCTCATGACCCAATCACCTCTTAAATGCCCGACCTATCAATACGGCCACATTAGGGATTCAGTTTCACCATAAGTTTATTTATTTATTATTTATTTATGTATTTTTTGAGACAATGTCTTGCTATGTCACCCAGGCTGGACAGCAGTGGCATGATCTCAGCTCATTATAACCTCCACCTCCCAGGTTCAAGTGATTCTCCTGCCTCAGCCTCCTGAGTAGCTGGTATTACAGGCACGTGCCACCATGCCCGGGTAATTTTTGTATTTTTAGTAGAGACAGGGTTTCATCATGTTGGCCAGCTAGTCTCAAACTCCTGACCTCATGTGATCTGCCCACCTTGGCTTCCTAAAGTGCTGAGATTACAGGTGTGAGCCACCACACTCAGCTTATTTACCTATTTATTTTTTGAGACAGGGTCTCACTGTGTTGCACAGGCTGGAGTGCAGTGGTGCAATCACGGTTCACTGCATCCTCAGCTTTCTGGGCTCAGGTGATCCTCCCACTTCAGCCTCCTGAGTAGCTGGGATCACAGGCATGTGCCACCTCACCTGGCTAATTTTTAAATTATTTGTAGAGACAGGGTCTCCCTATGTTGCCCAGGCTGGTTCAACATGAGTTTTCAAGGGAACAAATATTCAAACCTTAGCAGCAGGTTAAATGATCTTTCTCCCACATTTATGATCGGAAAAAAAAAATTAAAGCCTGAGACTCTGCTAGACTTCTTACTTTAACAAGAGTCTGAGAGTCTTGTTTCATTTCCATTACAGCATCTATTAATAGTTCTGACTGAGAGAAGAGCTATCCTTTACTTTGACGATTATGAAGAATAGGGGAAAAGACATTAAAAAGACACAATTACACCATTGATGATTTTGTCACAGCTGAGATAAGTGCTGTTAAAGAACTTGCAGGGAAGTCTTTGCTAAAGAAAAGATTCTGAAGCTGGTTTCTGAGGGAAGAGTCAAAGTTAGCCAAGCAAAAATGGGGGAAAAACTCCAGATACAGGAGTTTTCAGGATGTTTCAGGGTCTGAGATGGGAAGGAGGTTATGTGTTCCAACCCAGTGGTTCTCAAACTTGACTGCACATTAGAATTTCCCAGGAACATTTAAAACACAGAATGAGACACCCAGGCCTCATCCTATACCCATTATAAAAATTAAAATCTCGACTGGGCACGGTGGCTCACACCTGTAATCCCAGCACTTTGGGAGGCCAAGGTGGGCAGATCACCTGAGGTCAAGAGTTCAAGACCAGCCTGACCAACATGGAGAAATCCCATCTCTACTAAAAAATACAAAATTAACTGGGTGTGGTGGCACTTGCCTGTAATCCGAGCTACTTGGGAGGCTGAGGCAGGAGAATCGCTTGAACCCGGGAGGCAGAGGTTGCAGTGAGCTGAGATCATGCCATTGCACTTCAGCCTGGGCAACAAGAGCAAAATTCCATCTTAAAAAAACAAAAATAAAAAAATAATTAAAATCTCTCGGTGGGACTCAGGCACTCAGTAAATATATATATATCTATTTCCATTGACCATAACACATGACAGACTAAAGATGGCCTCCAATTCTTTGTCACTGTCCCTATAGAGAGGTAGAGTTTATTTTCCCTCCCCTTGAATCTGGCCTTTCCTTAAGACTGTAGAAGAAGAGAAACTGTGTCAGTTCCAGGCTTAGTCTTTAAAGGGACAAACAACTTTTGCCTTCTTTATTTTATTTATTTATTTATTTATTTGAGACAGAGTCTCATTCTGTTGCCCAGGCTGGAGTGCAGTGGTGTGATCTCGGCTCACTGCAACTTCCGCCTCCCAGGTTCAAGCAATTCTCCTGCCTCGGCCTCCTGAGTAGCTGGGATTACAGGTGTGCACAAACACACCCGGCTAATTTTTTTTAATTTTGTTTTTAGTAGAGACGGGGTTTTACCATGTTGGCCAGGCTGATGTTGAACTCCTGACCTCAGGTGATCCACCCACCTCGGCCTCCCAAAGTGCTGGGATTACAGACGTGAGCCACCATGCCCAGCCGCCTTCTCTATTTTAGAAAGCTCTCTTGTGACATCCCCTCTTGAAACCCAGATGCTATCCTCCAAGAAGTCTGAATCAAATGGAGAGGCCATGTGCAGGTACATCATTCAACAGTCCTAGCCGAGCTTTCAACCAACATCCAGCATCAACAGCCAGCCATTTGCAAGTGCCATCTTGGAGATTCCAGCTCAGTTGAGCCACCCTGATGACTGAAGCCCAGGAAGACATCACATTGAACCGAAGAACCGCTCAACTGAGCCCAGTCATCTCACCAGATCAGGAATGATTAAAAAAAAAAAAAAACAAGATTGTTACTCTAAGTTACTCAGTTTTGGGGTGGTTTGTTAACACAGTAATTGATAACCTAAACCCAAAAGAGAACTAAATAATGATGACTTAAAACTAATACCAATTGATTTCTCCCTTATGTAGAATAAATCTGAAGGGAGCAGTCCAAGGCTGGCACAGTGACTCCAAAAAGCATTATGGACCTAAGTTACTTCTGGCTCACCCTCCACCATCTTGAACCTCATCTCATCTTCATGGTTCAAGATGACGCTAGAATACCAGTCATCACATCCACATTTTAGGCAGTTAAGTGAAGGAAGGAAAGTGTACTTCATTAAAGAACCTTTTGGAAGCTGTCTACAATATTTATGCTTATTTATCATTGTCCTAGATGAAGACTTACGGCTACATCTACCTGTAAGTGACACTGAAGAATGTAGTTTTTTACCTGGGTGCCAATGGGCCCAGCTAAAAATCAGAATTCTCAACAGCAAAAGGATGGCTTTGAGATAATCATGTAGATTATGTGCAGATAACTACAGATAAGTCCCCTCCCCCAAGTCTATTTTAAATTTTCTCCTGGAGTATTTTAAAGTAAACCTCAGATATAATATGATTTCATCTATAAGACTTTTTATTTTGGTAACATATTCTTAAGGTTAGGTGTGATAAACACCTAACAAAGTGAATGATTATTTATTTATTTATTTTATTATTATTTTTTGAGATGGAGTTTCACTCTTGTTGCCCAGGCTGGGGTACAATGGTGCGATCTCAGCTCACTGCCACCTCCCCCTCCCAGGTTCAAGTGATTCTCCCACCTCAGCCTCCTGAGAAGCTGGGATTACAGGTATATACCACCAAGCCTGGCTAATTTTTGTATTTTTTGTAGAGATGGGATTAGGCCATGTTGCCCAGGCTGGTGTTGAACTCCTGGGATCAAGCCTTCCACCTACCTCACCTCCCAAAATCTTAGGATTACAGGTGTGATCCACCTTGCCTGGCCCTAAGCTATTCTTTATTCTTTCTTTTTTCGTTTTTTGAATCAGGGTCTCCTTTCTTCATTTCCAAGTGGAATGGAACTTTACCAGGCCTTTCCTGTTGACTGATAAAATTCCAGAGCCTAGTTTTAAAATATGCATATTCCTTGTTAGCAACAGAGATGTTAAGAAGAAATATAGGAGATGTCCTCTTTTCCCTGATACTGCATAAGGAGAAAGATTTTTTCTGAGTCACAACACTAATTTAAGGAATCTGATTTGATAAAGAGTTGAATTGAGAAGATTCACAAGAATATCAGTCTTGTTTTCTGGTACAATATGGAGAACTAAATGAATATTCACAAACATTACTAAATTGTTCTCTGTTGAAATAAATTCATACACAAAACTGTTATTTGAACAAAAGGGTCTTGTAAGAGTCCCAAGCCTTTAAAAATCATTGCCACATCTTGTGAAAATAACTTTCAAAGAAACACCTGTAATTATAGTTGGTTTTACTCCTTATAATTTGTTGCCTTGTTGACTTTTCTATGTTCCAAAACAGTAAGAAGAGTAGGTGCTATCAAGACAAAAAATCCGAAAACAAAAACGAGACTTCGGGGCATTTTGCTCTTCTTCCAAATGCAAGATGAAAAAAAACATGGTTAAAAACTAACTTGCTTGATTTCTTATTTTAACAAAAAAATAAAAAATTTTGTCTGATTCAAATTAACATTTTTTTTTTTTTTTTTGAGACTGAGTCTCACTCTGTTGCCCAGGCTGGAGTGCAATGGTGCGATCTCAGCTCACTGCAACCTTTGCCTCCCAGGTTCAAGCAGTTCTCCTGCCTCAGCCTCCTGAGTAGCTGGGATTACAGGCGTGCACCACCACGCCCAGCTAATTTTTGTATTTTTAGTAGAGATGAGGTTTCACCATGGTTGGCCAGGCTGGTCTCGAACTCCTGACCTCAGGTTATCTACCTGCCCCGGTCTCCCAAAGTGTTGGGATTACAGGCATGAGCCACTGCGCCAGGCTAAATTAACATAATTATCAAATGCAATCTGTAGACTTTTATTGGATCCTGATTTATTCTTTAAAAACCTGATAGAAATGACATTTTTGAGACAATCAGGGAAATTTGAGTACTGAATGGGTATTAGCTGGTATCAAGGAGGTACTCTTAACTTTCTTGATGTGACAGTGCTGTGGTGCTTATATTATTTTTAAAATGGTTCTTATTTGATAAAGATAGATATGTACTGAAATATTCTGAACTTAAAAAATGAGCTCATGACTGGCTGGGCACAGTGGCTCATGCCTGTAATCCCAGCACTTTGGGAGGCTGAGGTGGGTGGATCACTTGAGATCAGGAGTTTGAGACCAGCCTGGCCAACATGGTGAAACCTCATCTCTACTAAAAAATACAAAAATTAACTGGGCATGTTGAAGGGCTCCTGTAATCCCAGCTACTTGGGAGGCTGAGGCAGGAGAACCGCTTGAACCTGGGGGGTGGAGGTTGCAATGAGATGAGATTTTGCCACTTCACTCCAGCCTGGGCGAAAGAGTGGAACTCTGTCTCAAAAGAAAAAAAAAAAATGGTGATGAAGGCCTGGCACAGTGGCTCATGCCTGTAATCCCAGCAGTTTGGGAGGCCGAGGCAGGTGGATCACTTGAGGCGAGGAGTTCAAGACTAGCCCAGCTAACTTGTGAAACCTCATCTTAACTAAAAATACAAACATTAGCCGGGCATGGTGGCATGCGCCTATAATCCCAGCTACTTGGGAGGCTGAGGCCGGAGAATTGCTTGAACCCAGGAGGCTGAAGTTGCAATGACCTGAGATCGTGCCACTGGACTCCAGCCCAGGTAACAGAACCAGACACCATCTCAAAAAAAAAAAAAAGAGTGAAGTGCTTTCATCTCTTCAATACGAACCCTTCAGGGCCAAGTCTGAAGCATTTTCGGGGTTACCTGTTTGATGCCTGAAATCTGCCTGAGACAGAGGAGCATTTCCTGTGAGTCAAGTGCTCGAACACTGGTGTGTGTAAGGAGCATGTTGCAATCAGCAACATCAACATGTTTCCTGAATGTGGATATGGGAGGGGAAACTGAAAGGCTAGGAAAGGCTGTTACTGCCCACACTCTGGGGTGGGAGAGAGGCAGCGACGACTCCAGCTCTTCTCCCATCTGTGGACTGCAGAACCCAAGACGGACTCTGGGAGGGCTAAGGAGCCATCATGATCCCTAAGCTGCTTTCCCTCCTCTGTTTCAGTAAGTCTCACAGGGCTATCCACTGGGACTGCAGAAAATCATGGAACTGGTGGGATAGTTGGGCTGGGGATGGAAATAATAACATCAACTTTGGCTTACTGAGCACACGGGAGGAGTGAGACGTCCTGCTGAGTGCAGTGCAGACATTCCCTGGAAACGAGTGCTCTGCAAACTTCAACTCCTGTAGTTTCAACTTCGTGAGTTTTGCTGAATGCCTCCACCACCTGGCTTCATTGGCTTACCCCTTTTCTCAGGATCAACTCTGACTTTTTGTGTGTAAGTAAAAGTATTCAGAATAGAAACCTTATTTTATTTTATTTTATTTTATTTTTTTGAGACAGAGTTTTGCTCTTGTTGCCCAGGCTGTAGTGCAATGGCATGATCTCGGCTCACCACAACCTCTGCCTCCCGGGTTCAAGCGATTCTCCTGCTTCAGCCTCCTGAGTAACTGGATTACAGGGGTGCGCCACCATGCCTGGTTAATTTTTGTATTTTTAGTAGAGACAGTGTTTCACCATGTTGGCCAGGCTGGTCTCGAACTCCCGACCTCAGGTGATCTGCCCACCTCAGTCTCTCAAAGTGCTGGGATTACAGATGTGAGCCACTGTGCCTGGCCCAGAAACCTTAATACCATAAATAAAAATTTAGTGTCAAATAGATAACTATAAAGTAAATTGAGGCCGCTGTGTAACCATCACCACTATCTACACTAAAACCTCTTTCTTTCTTCCTTCCTTCCTTCCTTTCTTTCTTTTTCTCCTTCCCTTCCTTCCTTCCTTCCTTCCTTCCTTCCTTCCTCCCTTCCTTCCTCTCTCTCTCTTTCTTTCTTTTTTTTTTTTTTGAGATGGAGTCTCGCTCTGTCGCCCAGGCTGGAGTGCAGTGGTGCGATCTCTGCTCACTGCAAGCTCCGCCTCCCGGGTTCACGCCATTCTCCTGCCTCAGCCTCCCGAGTAGCTGGGACTACAGGCGCCCGCCACCATGCCCGGCTTTTTTCGTAGGTTTCACTGTGTTAGCCAGGATGGTCTCCATCTCCTGACTTCTTGATCTGCCCGCCTCGGCCTCCCAAAGTGCTGGGATTACAGGCGTGAGCCCCCGCTTGCTTGCCTGCTTGCTTGCTTGCTTGCTTTCTTTCTTTCTTTCTTTCTTTCTTTCTTTCTTTCTTTCTTTCTTTCTTTCTTTCTTTCTTTCTTTCTTCCTTCCTTCCTTTCTTTCTTTCTCTTTCTCCTTCATTCCTTCCTTCCTCTCTCTCTTTCCCTTCCTTCCTTCCTTCCTTACTTCCTTCCTTCCTTCCCTCCTTTTCCTTTTTTTGAGACAAAGTCTCACTCTGTACCCAGGCTGGAGTGCAGTGGTATGACCACAGCTCACTGCAGCCTCCACCTCCTGGGCTCAAGCAATTCTCCTGCCTCAGCCTCCTGGGTAGCTGAGATTACAGGTGCCCACCACACACCCGGCTGATTTTTTGTACTTTTTAGTAGAGACGGGGTTTCATCATGTTGGCCAGGCTGGTCTTGAGCTCCCTCAGGTGATCACCTCAGGTGATCTGCCCGCCTCAGCCTCAGCCTCCCAAAGTGCTGGGATTACAGGCGTGAGCCACAGTGCCCCGTGTAATTTTTAAATTTTTTGTAGAGACGGGATCTCACTATGTTACTCAGGCTGGTCTCAAACTCCTGGCCTCAAGCAGCCCTTCTGCCTTGGCCTCCCAAAGTGCTGGGATTACAGGCGTGAGCCACTGTGGTGGCTCTGCCACCTTTTTCTCCCATCCTGGCCCTCAGCAGAATACCCACCTCCATTAGGAAGGCCAACCTGCCCGACTCAGCATTAGATTCAAATGCTGATCTTTCTAAAAACACCCTCACAGACACGCCCAGAAATAATGTTTAACCAGATATCCCAGCATCCTGTGGCCTGGTCTAGCTGATAAATCAAATTAACAATCACAATTCCCAATATGAACGCTACACCCTCTAACCAATAACTCTGTATTTGCCGCGGTCCTCCCAGCCCCTGGTAACCTCCATTCTAATTTCTTTTTTTTTTTTTTTTTTTCGGAGATGGAGTCTTGCTTCGTCACCCAGGCTGGAGTACAGTGGCCTAATCTCAGCTCACTGCAACCTCCGCCTCCTGGGTTCAAGCGATTCTCCTGCCTCTCCCTCCCGAGTAGCTGGGATCACTGGCGCTCACCACCATGCCTGGCTAAGTTTTTTTTTTTTTTTTTTTTAGTAGAGACAAGGTTTCACCATGTTGACCAGGCTGGTCTCGATCTCCTGACTTTGTGATCTGCCTGTCTCGGCCTCCCAAAGTGCTGGGATTACAGGCGTGAGCCACCGTGTCCAGCCCATTCTAATTTTTATCTCTATGAATTTGCTTATTCTAGGATGTATGAGTGGAATCATAACACTTGTTCTTTTTTGCCTGACTTAGTTTACTCAGCATAATATCCTCGAGCTACATCTATATTGTAGGATATGTCAGATTTCCTTTCCTTTTTATGGCTAAAATCCCACTGTAGGCCGAGCACAGTGTCTCACACCTGTAATCCCAGCACTTTGAGAGTCTGAGGCAGGCAGATCGCTTGAGCCCAGGAGTTCGAGACTAGCCTGGGCAACATGGTGAAACCCTGTCTCTACAAAAAATACAAAAATGAGGCTGGGCATGGTGGCTCACGCCTGTAATCCCAGCACTTTTTTTGCAATGACCTGACGTAAGGAGTTCGAGAACAGCCTGGCCAATAGGGTGAAACCCCATTTCTACTAAAAATATAAAAATTAGCCATGCGTGGTGGCGGGCGCCTGTAATCCCAGCTACTTGGGAGGCTGAGGCAAGAGAATCGCTTGAACCCAGGAGTCAGAGGTTGCAGTGAGCCGAGATCATGCCATTGCACTCCAGTCTGGGCAACAAGAGCGAAACTCCATCTCAAAATAAATAAATAAATATTAAAAACAACAACAACAACAAAAATGAGCTGGGCATGGTGGTGTGCAGCTGTAGTCCCAGCTACTCGGGAGGCAGAGGTGGGAGGATCACCTGAGCCCAGGGAGTTGATGCTGGAATGAACTAGGATCACATCATTGCACTCCAGCCTGGGCAGCAGAGCGAGACCCTGCCTCAAAAAAAAAAAAAAAAAAAAAAGAAAGAAAGAAAAGAAAAAGAAAAAAGCATTTTGGAGGCTAAGATGGGCGGATCACCTGAGGTGGGGAGTTCAAGACCAGCCTGACCAACATGGTGAAACCCTGTCTCTACTAAAAAATACAAAATTAGCTGGGCATGGTGGTGCATGCCTGTAATCCCAGCTACTTGGGAGGCTGAGGCAGGAGAATCACTTGAACCCACAAGGCGGAGGTTGCAGTGAGCTGTAATCCCAGCTACTTGGGAGGCTGAGGCAGGAGAATCACTTGAACCTGCAAGGCGGAGGTTGCAGTGAGCTGTAATCCCAGCTACTTGGGAGGCTGAGGCAGGAGAATCACTTGAACCCGCGAGGCGGAGGTTGCAGTGAGCCGAGATCGCGCCATTGCACTCCAGCCTGGGCAACAAGAATGAAACTATGTCTCAAAAAAAAAAAAAAAAAAAACGAAGAAAAAGAAGAAAAATCCCATTGAATATATAGAGCACACTGTGTTTATCCATTCTTCCATGGATGGACACTTACGTTGTTTGAACATTTTGGGTGTTCACAATTTCCTTTTGCAAAACTTGAAGTGTCAGTTTATGGATTGGCTCATGGATGTAATAGTAGCACAAACGCCTGGTAACTTCTCCTTTTTCCTGCTGAGACCTAAAACTGTTCACACAGGGGAAAAAGAGGAAATCTCTCAGAGACACAGGCCTAACTAACTTTCTTTGAGTTAGATCAATCTCATTATTATGATAATGTTCATAAACAGGCTTGATATTATGTTTTTTCTTTTCTTTCTCTTTTTTTTTTCTTTCCTGAAACTGAGTCTCGCGCTGTGGCCAGGCTGGAGTGCAGTGGTGCGATCTCAGCTCATTGCAAACTCTGCCTCCTGGGTTCAAGCGATTCTCTGCCTCAGCCTCCTGAGTAGCTGGGATCACAGGCGCCCATCACCACACCTGGCTAATTTTTGTATTTTTAGTATAGACGGGGTTTCACCATGTTGGCCAGGCTGGTCTTCAACTCCTGACCTCGTGATCCACCTGCCTCGGCCTCCCAAAGTGCTGGGATTACAGGCGGGAGCCACCGCGCCCGGCATGGTCAAGAGTTCTTAACCAGCCCAGCCCTGTCTCTATCAAAAAAAATTAAAAAGGAGGAAGAGCAAATGCAGCCATGTGTGAAACAGGGAGGAACGTATGCTTTCCCCTTTCTGGAATGACCATTTGGATGTTTTGAGGCTTGTTACAGGACACCAAACAATAAATTTTGTCCTGTTTGGAGTCATGAAGGGATTAAAAGAGATCATGAGCCTGGGCAACATAGGGAGACTCTGTCTCTGGGAAAGACTAAAAAATTAGCCGGGTGTGGTGGTGCACACCTGTGATCCCAGCTACTCGGGAGGCTGAGGTGGGAGGATCACTTGAGCCTGGGAGGCTACAGTGAGCCATGATGGAGCCACTGCACTCCAACCTGGGCAACAGAGAGAGACCCTGTCTCAAAACACAATAATAAAATGAAAAATTAAAAAATAAAAAGAAGCTGGGCACAAAGCTCATGCCTGTAATCCCGGCACTTTGGGAGGCCGAGGTGGGTGGATCACCTGAGGTCAGGAGTTCGAGACCAGCCTGGCCAATATGGTGAAACCCTGTCTCTACTAATAATACAAAACTCAGCCGGGCGTCCTGGCGCATGCCTGTGATCCCAGCTATTTGGGAGGCTGAGGCAGGAGAATCACTTGAACCCGGGAGGCGGAGGTTGCAGTGAGCCGAGATTGCGTCACTCTACTCCAGCCTGGGCGACAGAGCGCAACTCTGTCTCTGGAATGAATGAAAGAAAGAAAGAATGAATGAAAGAAAGAAAGAATGAATGAAAGAAAGAAAGAAAGAAAAAGAAAGAAAGAGCGAGACTCTGTCTCTGGAATGAATGAAAGAAAGAATGAATGAAAGAAAGAAAAAAGAAAGAAAGAAAGGAAAGAAAAAGAAAGAAAGAAAGAAATGGTAAGAATGAGTGCTGTTTTCAAACAGAAGATGAGAATGGAAGGATTTGTGGGAAAGGCCTGGAGCAGGGGGAGGTGACAGCCACACAGGATGGTCAAGGAGAATCGCTGGGAAAGGATGGAGGAGCTGGAAGTCGAGCAGAAGCCACAGTCCAGTGTGGGGAGAATGAGAACTCCTGAGCGTATGACCTCTAAGGGTCTGTTCTCAGCAGGAGACTCTGGGACGATCTCCAGGGGTCAGGGCAGGGGGTGACGTGGCTCCAGGTAGGGGCTTCTGGCTCACGGAGGATTGTCTTGCAGGACTGTGCGTGGGCCAAGGAGACACAAGGGGAGATGGTGAGTGTTTCTTCAACTACACCCTCCTTGGCCTGTCATCCCAAATCCCCTGCTGTTCTCTTCCCCTTCCCCCTCTTTTTCTCTTTTTTTTTTGACGGAGTCTCACTCTTTCGCCAGGCTGGAGTGCGGTGGTGCAATCTCGGCTTACAGCAACCTCCGCCTCCTGGGCTCAAGTGATTCTCCTGTCTCAGCCTCCCAAGTAGCTGGGACTACGGGTGCTTGCCACCACGCCCAGCTAATTTTTGTATTTTTAGTAGAGACGGAGTTTCACCATGTTGGCCAGGATGGTCTCGATCTCATGACCTCGTGATCTGCCTGCCTTGGCCTCCCAAGGTGCTGGGATTACAGGCGTGAGCCACCGCACCCAGCCCGCTTCCCTTCTTAAAATGGGATTCCTGATTGGGCTCAGGGGTTCACGCCTGTAATCCCAGCACTTTGGGAGGCCAAGGTGGGTGGATCACCTGAGGTCAGGAGTTCGAGACCAGCCTGGCCAACATGGTGAAACCTTGTCTCTACTAAAATACAAAATTAGCTGGGTGTGGTGGTGCGTGCCTGTAATCCCACCTACTTGGGAGGCTGAGGCAGGAGAATTGCTTTAACCCAGGAGACGGAGGTTGCAGTGAACTGAGATTGCACCACTGCACTCTAGCCTGGGCAACAGAGGGAGACTCCATCTCAAAATAATAATAATAATAATAAATTTTAAAAAGGGCTTCCTGAGAGCAGGGGAGGGCATCGGGTCCAGCATCAGGCTCTGCTTCCTTCCAGGGTCACTGCCCAAGCCGTCCCTCAGTGCCTGGCCCAGCTCGGTGGTCCCTGCCAACAGCAATGTGACGCTGCGATGTTGGACTCCTGCCAGAGGTGTGAGCTTTGTTCTCAGGAAGGGAGGAATTATTCTGGAGTCCCCGAAGCCCCTTGATTCTACAGAGGGCGCGGCCGAATTTCACCTCAATAATCTAAAAGTCAGAAATGCTGGAGAGTACACCTGTGAATACTACAGAAAAGCATCCCCCCACATCCTTTCACAGCGCAGTGACGTCCTTCTACTGTTGGTGACAGGTACAGACAGGGTGCCTGCCAATGACATACGGGGGACAGGGGATGAGGGAGGAAGTGGAGGAACAGAGGGAGAAAAGGGGTCCCACCTTCAGAGTAGTTGGGGGTGATGGGAGAGGGAGAGAGACAGGAACGAAATTGCATATGTTGGTTTTATACTTTGTCGCCCAGGCCAGAGTGCAGTGGTGCCATCTCGGCTCACTGCAACTTCCGCCTCCTGGGCTCAAGTGATTCTCCTGCTCCAGCCTCCTGAGCAGCTGGGATTACAGGTGCCTGCCACCATGCCCGGCTAATTTTTGTATTTTTAGTAGAGACAGGGTTTCGCCATGTTGGGCAGGCTGGTCTCGAACTCCTGACCTCAGGTGATCCACCCGCCTTGGCCTCCCAAAGTGCTGGGATTACAGGTGTGAGCCACCATGCCAGGCCTTACACAGGTCTTGTAGGAGGGAGAATCTCTGTCCTGGGGTCGGAGTAGGAAGTGGAGGAAGGTAGAAGAGATCAGGAATCTCTCATTTCCCACACTCCACGAGAGCCTCCGGCCAGGAGAACAGGGGTGAGTGGGGGATTCCAGACTTCTCCCCAGGACCTCAGAACCTGACTTCTCTTACAGGACATTTATCTAAACCTTTCCTCCGAACCTACCAAAGGGGTACAGTGACCGCAGGTGGAAGGGTGACTCTGCAGTGCCAGAAGCGAGACCAATTGTTTGTGCCTATCATGTTCGCTCTACTGAAGGCAGGGACGCCATCACCCATCCAGCTGCAGAGTCCAGCGGGGAAGGAGATAGACTTCTCTCTGGTGGACGTGACAGCCGGCGATGCTGGGAACTACAGCTGCATGTACTACCAGACAAAGTCTCCCTTCTGGGCCTCAGAACCCAGTGATCAGCTTGAGATATTGGTGACAGGTAAGGGCGTGTATGGTTTTGAGGAACTGTGTGTGTTGTTTTTAATCAGAGATTGTTTTGTTCTTCTGTGAATCTCATTTCTTCATTACTTACAATATCATCGCTCTTAACAAAATCTTCCCTTTCTGGCCTGGCGTGGTGGCTCATGCCTGTCATCCCAGCACTTTGGGAGGCCGAGGTGGATGGATCATCTGAGGTCAAGGATTTGAGACCAGCCTGGCCAACATAGTGAAACCCCGTCTCTACTAAAAATAAAAAATTAGCCAGGTATGATGGCATGCACCTGTAGACCCAGCTACTTGGGAGGCTGAGGCAGGAGAATTGCTTGAACATGGGAGGCGGAGGTTGCAGTGAGCCAAGATCTTGCCACTGCACTCCAGCCTGGGCAATAGAGTGAGACTCTGTCTCAAAAACAAAAAACAAAAAACAAAAACAAAAACAACAAAACAACAAAAAAACCTCCCTTTCACAATTTCCACTCCTTTGCCTTTTTTTTTTTTTTTTTTTTTTGAAATGGAGTCTCACTCTGTTGCCAGGATGGAGTGCAATGGCGCGATCTTCGCTCACTGCAACCTCCACCTTCCAGGTTCAAGTGATTCTCCTGCCTCAGCCTCCCAAGTAGCTAGGATTACAGGCCTGCACCACCCATCCGGCTAATTTTTCTATTTTTAGTAGCGATGAAGGTTTCACCGTGTTGACCAGGCTGGTCTTGAACTCCTGACCTCAGGTGATCTGCCTGCCTCGGCCTCCCAAAGTGCTGGGATTACAGGTGTGAGCCACCGTGCCCGGCCCTCCTTTGCCTTTTTGTTATACTACATCCTTGGAAAATTTCTAGGCTGTTTTTGAAAATTATGAATCTACCAGCACCAGATTCCTTCTACCAGTCTTTGCATCTCTTAGCGTTTTGGTTTTTTGTTTTGTTTTGTTTCATTTTGTTTTTGAGACAGAGTCTCGCTCTGTTGCCCAGGGTGGAGTGCAGTGGTGCGATCTCAGCTCACTGCAACCTCTGCCTCCCGAGTTTAAGCAATTCTCCTGCCTCAGCCACTTGAGTAGCTGGGATTACATGTGCCCACCACCACGCCTGGCTAATTTTTGTATTTTTAGTAGAGATGGGGTTCTGACCATGTTGACCAGGCTGGTCTTGAACCCCTGGCCTCAGGTGATCCACTCACCTCGGCCTCCCAAAGGGCTGGGATTGCAGGTGTGAACCACTGTGCATGGCGTGTTTTGGTTTTTCTTGGTGTTAGTGATTTCACTCTCAATAATTCTTTCTCAGTCATGTGCGGTGGCTCAGGCCTGTAATCCCAGCACTTTGGGAGGCTGAGGCTGGAGAATTGCTTGAGCCCAGGAGTTTGAGACCAGCCTGGGCAACATAGTGAGACCCAGTTTCAAATTAAAAAAAAAAATTATCTCATCCTCAGAACATGGTGTTTGCACAGCCTCCTGCTTCTATGCCGTGGATGCGAAGTCTACCCATGTCTTTTATTGACTGCTAGAATTCTTCTGAAAGTATCTTGTTTCCTGCCTTACTGGGTGCTAGCACTCTGCTTCCTCAGCTCTGTAAATTATTTTTCATCTATTGTAACTGCTGTAATGAGTTACATTACAGCTCTTGCCGGGTGCCTGGATGAAGCCCATTCATCAAGACAGAGGAATTGCAAAAAAGAGTTTAATACACATTGAGCCAGGTAAGTGGGAGACCAGAGTTTTTTTGTTTGTTTGTTTGTTTGAGACGGAGTCTTGCTCTGTCGCCCAGGCTGGAGTGCAGTGGCGCGATCTCGGCTCAATGAAACCTCTGCCTCCCAGGTTCAAACGATTCTTCTGCCTCAGCCTCCCGAGTAGCTGGGACTATATGTGTGCCACCCTGCCTGGCTAATTTTTGTATTTTTAGTAGAGATGGGGTTTTACCATATTGGCCAGGCTGGTCTCGAACTCCTGACCTCGTGATCTGCCCGCTTGGGCCTCCCAAAGTGCTGGGATTACAGGCATGAGCCACTGCACCTGGCCAATCAGAGTTTTATTATTACTCAAATCAGCCTCCCTGAAAATCTGGAGGCTAGGGTTTTGTTTGTTTGTTTGTTTTCTTTGAGATGGAGTCTCACTCTGTCGCCCAAGCTGGAGTGTAGTGGCACAATCTGAGCTCACTGCAGCCTCCACCCCCCAACCCCAGGCCCAGGTCAAGTAATTCTCCTGCCTCAGCCTCCTGAGTAGCTGGGATTACAGGCACCCGCCACCACACCCGGCTAATTTTTTTGTATTTTTAGTAGACATGGGGTTTCGCCATGTTGCCCAGGCTGCTCTCAAACTCCTGGCCTCAAGCAATCCTCCTACCTTAGCCTCCCACAGTGCTGGGATTACAGGCGTGAGCTACTGTGCCCGGCCTCAACTCAAACTTTCTCAGGTGCACTGCTGCACAGCAGTGTGGGCTGCGAGGATGCTGATCCAGCCACGGAATTCGGGGCTCTGTAGAGCTCCTTCCGTCTCATGTGCTGCCCCAAGACTATTCCTTAACATAAGGATGCGGGAGGAGAAAAGGCAATGTGGGAAGGTGGAAATGGGATAAAGAGCAAATAAACGAAGGAAGAGAGCTAAGGTGGAGTGAATATCAAGGAAGGAAGATAAAGGAACTCCCATTACAACTCATTAGGATTGCATATCTTGGCCGGGCGCGGTGGCTCAGGCCTGTAATCCCAGCACCTTGGGAGGCCGAGGCAGGCGAATCACTTGAGGCCAGGAGTTCGAAACCAGTTTGGCCAACATGGCGAAAACCCATCTCTATTAAAAATACAAAAATTAGCCGGGTGTGGTGGTAGGTGCCTGTAATCCTAGCTATTCGGGAGGCTGAGGCAGGAGAATCGCTTGAACCCAGGAGGTGGAGGTTGCAGTGAACCGAGACTGCGTCGCTGCACTCCAGCCTGAGCAACAGAGTGAGACGTCGTCTCAAAAACAACAACAAAGATTCCATCTTTTGTTTTCAGGGATTAAAACTTTAAAGAGCTCAATTATGGCCAGGCATGGTGGTTTATGCCTATAATCCCAACACTTTGGGAGGCCAAGGCGGGTGGATCACCTGAGGTCAGGAGTTCGAGACCAGCCTGACCAACATGGAGAAACCCCGTCTCTACTAAAAATACAAAATTAGCCGGGTGTGGTGGCACATGCTCATAATCTCAGCTGCTTGGGAGGCTGAGACAGGAGAATCACTTGAACCCGGGAGGCAGAGGTTGTAGTGAGCTGAGATTGTGCCATTACACTCCAGTCTGGGCAACAAGAGCAAAACTTGATCTCAAGAAAAAAAAAAAGTTCAATTAAAACTTTAAAGTACAGTGGACTACTGGCTAGAAAACATTAAGTGGGTGGCCGGGCGCGGTGGCTCACACCTGTAATCCCAGCACTTTGGGAGGCTGAGGTGGGCGGGTCACCTGAGGTCGGGAGTTCAAGACCAGCCTGGCCAACATGGCGAAACCCCGTCTCTACTAAAAATATAAAATTAGCCGGGCATGGTGGCACATGCCTGTAATCCCAGCTACTTGGGAGGCTGAGGCAGGGAGGCTTGAACCTGGGAGGCAGAGGTTGTGGTGAGCTGAGATTACACCACTGCACTCCAGCCTGGTCAACAAGAGTAAAACTCCGTCTCAAAAAAAAAAACCAAAAAACCGAAAACATTAAGTGGGTGATGATAGTCAGATTTGGTGGGGCCATTTGAGAAGGAGGGATACCCTCTGAGGGTCAGTGCTGAGCCCCTTCTCTCTTTCAGTTCCCCCAGGTACCACATCGAGCAACTACTCCCTGGGTAACTTCGTACGACTGGGTCTGGCTGCCGTAATTGTGGTTATCATGGGAGCTTTCCTGGTGGAGGCCTGGTACAGCCGGAATGTGTCTCCAGGTGAATCAGAGGCCTTCAAACCAGAGTGACTCCATCTTGAACCGGGGCTGGGTAAACTGAGGCTGCAACCTGCTGGACTGCATTCCCAGGGGGTTGAGGCTTTCTAAGTCACAGGATGAGACAGGTCACAACATACAGGTCACAAAGACCCAAAGACACAAAGATGCAACAAAGAAGCCAGCCAAAACCTGCCAAATCCAAGATGGCAACAAAAGTGACTTCTGGTCGTCCTCACTGCACATTATTTGCTAATTATAATGCATTTGCATGCTAAAAGACACTCCCACCGCCACCAAGACAGCTTACAGATGCCATGGCAACTTCCAGAAGCTAAACGAGGGAGGGACTCTCAGTTCCAGGGAAATCCCCTCCCCTTTCCTGGAAAACTCATGAACAGTCCACCCCTTGTTTAGCATACGATCAAGAAATAACCACAAAAATAGCCGACTGACAGCCCTCTGGACTGCTCTGCCTATGGAGCAGCCATATTCCTTGACTTTCTTAATAAACTTGCCTTCACTTTACTCTGTGTACTCACCCTGAGTTCTTACTTGTGTGAGATCCGAGAACCCTCTCTTGGGGTCTGGACTGGGACCCCTTTCCAGTAACAGATCCAAGTTAAAACACGGATCCCCTCTCTCTTTCATGGGCTGCTGTAGAGATATGGAATTCTCTTCTGCTCCAGATTTATTGAGATCTAATCGACAAATAAAAATGGAGTTATATTTGTGTACAACGTGATGTTTTGATATATTCCATTTTGATTTATCAATTATACCCCCATAAGCCTACGGGTGGGGAACCCTCCTACTAAGTAATTTATTGTGTACCAAGGAAGAAATTTCACTGATTGTGACATGAGTATCACAATGTAGCTAACGAACCTTTCTGTTTAAGATCCACCTTCTGGGAACCTCCCTACTAAATAATTAATTGTGTACCAAAGAAGAAATTTCACTAATTGTGACATGATTATCACAATGTAGCTAATGGACTTTTCTGTTTAAGATCCACCTTCTGGGAACTTTCCTACTAACTAAGTAATTAATTGTGTGCCGAGGAAGAAATTTCACTCATTGTGACAATGGTTATCTCAATCTAGCTTATGGACCTTTCTGTTTAAGATCCACCTTCTTAGCAAATTGTAATTACCCAGTGCAGCCTTGTGAACTGTAGCCGCCCTGCTGTGCATTCAATCCATATGGGGTTCTTTAAACATCAGACTCTACCATGGGGACTTCACACGTTTCTCCACATGGGCACAAATGGTATTTTTTGTTTTTTTGTTTGTTTGTTTGTTTTGAGACAGAGTCTCGCTTTGTCGCCCAGGCCAGAGTGCAGTGGTGCGATCTCGGCTCATTGCAACCTCCGCCTGCCAGGTTCAAGTGATTCTCCTGCCTCAGCCTCCCAAGTGGCTGCAACTACAGGCACCTGCCACCATCTGGCTAATTTTTTTGTATTTTTAGGAGAGACGGGGTTTCGCCACATTGGTCAGGCTGGTCTCGAACTCCTGGCCTCAAGTGATCCACCTGCCTCAGCCTCCCAAAGTGCTGGGATTACAGGTGTGCACCACCGGGCATGGCCACAAATGGTGTTTAAAGTGCAATAGTCCTTCACCATGTGAGACTGTCTTGTCCATTATAGGAACACGTAACTCGACATTGCTAATACTTCCTTTCCCATTGAACACCTGTTGGAGACCTAATTATTGTGAAACAACAACAACAAAAAAGCCACTACTCTCATACCTTTCAAATATCCCTGGATGGGGCGATGGGAAGTGAGGGTGGTGCTCCCCCTGGTTGAAAAGCTGTGTTTGGATGCCGGGAGAAAACAATCTTCCTCCTCTTCCTTCCCCTCTAAGCTCAGCTCTGTTCTTCTCTAGCCATAGATCCCACAGCTGCCCAGGGAATGATGGGTTGGACCAGCTGAGCCTTAACCGCTTTCTGTGGAACCTGCACTCTCAGCTCTGTTGGGATCTGCTGTAGGGCAGGATGGTGGCTTTCTTCTTCCTGTACTTTTCACTGGGGACAGAGGACAGAATTGGGCACAATGAGCCACGTAATACTTTTTTTTTTTTTCTTTGAGACGGAGTCTCGCTCTGTCACCCAGGCTGCAGTGCAATGGCAAGATCTCGGCTCACTGCAACCTCCACCTCCTGGGTTTAAGCGATTCTCCTGCCTTAGCCTCCCAAGTCGCTGGGATTACAGGCGCCTGCCACCATGCCCAGCTAATTTTTGTACTTTTAGTAGAGATGGGGTTTCACCCATGTTGGCCAGGCTGGTCTTGAACACCTGAGCTCAAGTGATCAGCCCACCTCGGCCTCCCAAAGTGCTGGGATTGCAGGCTTGAGTCACCGTGCCCAGCCCTTAATACATTTTTGATAACTTGAATCAATACTTAAAACTTCAGAGTCAGATTGAGTAGTAGGTGACTCTCACCTGCGGGGAACTCTTCCTCCACACGAAGGGAAAAACATTGCTTCCTGTGTAATATTTATTAATACTTCCTCTCCGTTCTTTCTATTTTGTGCTTCTGGACCAGCATTTAGTCCAATATTGGGATATACATATTTATTTATTTATTATATTTATTTATTTTGAGACAGGGTCTCACTCTGTCGCCCAGGCTGGAGTGTAGTGGCTAGATCACGGCTCACTGCAGCCTCGACCTCCCAGGCTAAAGTAATCCTCCCATCTCAGCCTTCTGAGTAGCTGGGACCACAGGTGTGTGCCATCATGCCGGACTAAATTTTGTATTTTTTGTAGAAGCCGGGTTCCACCATATGGCCCAACTTGGTCTCGAACTCTTGGACTCAAGTGATCCTCTCATCTTGGCCTCCCAAAGTGCCAGGACTACAGGCGTTAGCCACTGTGCTTGGTCATATGTATTTATAATACATTCTTTCTTTCTTTTTTTTTGGAGAGGGAGTCTCACTCTGTCACCCAGGCTGGAGTGCAGTGGCGTAATTTCAGCTCACTGCAACCTCCCTCTCAGGTTCAAGTGACTCTCCTGCCTCAGCCTCTCAAGTAGCTGGGATTACAGGCGCCCACCACCATGCCTGGCTAATTTTTGTGTGTTAGTAGAGACGGGGTTTCACCATGTTGGCGAGGCTGGTCTCGAACTCCTGACCTCAAGTGATCTGCCCACCTTGGCTTCCCAAAGTGCTGGGATTACAGGCATGAGCCACCACGCCCAGCCTGTATTTATAATACATTTCTTTTACATTTTATTTTATATGTTTCCAACATTTTACCCAGTTTGGCAGGAATTCCATTCTATCCATGGCATCCATTTGCTTGTAATTGGTAGCCAGTCTTACTGGTGCAGATGTAAAATGTCAACAGTTGCCAGGTGCTGTGGCTCATGCCTATAATCCCAGCACTCTGGGAGGCCGAGGTGGGCGGATCACAAGGTCAAGAGATCGAGACCATCCTGGCCAATATGGTGAAACCCCATCTCTACTAAAAATACAAAAATTAGCTGGGCGTGGTGGTGCATGCCTGTAATCCCAGCTACTCAGGAGGCTGAGGCAGGAGAATTGCTGGAACCCGGGAGGCAGAGGTTGCAGTGAGCCGAGATCTCACCACTGCACTGCAGCCTGGGCGACAGAGCGAGACTCCGTCTCAAAAAAAAAAAAAAAAAAAAAGTCAACATTTATGTTTTGTTGTTACATTTTGTTTTCAAGATTTGTTGCTGTTTCTTGTTAATAGTCTTATTATTTTTCGTAAATATCATTCTTATTTTATAACTATTGTCTCCTCTGTTATAACTCTGAGGATGTGCTTATCAAAGCAATATTCCTCCTCTTCCTCCACTAACCACAGGTTGGTCCTTCTCTATCCACAGACCACACAGCTGCCAAGGGTAGCATGCGCTAGAGCTGCCGATCCTTAGAGTTTCCTGTGCAGCCAGCATTTCCAGCTGTTTGAGAGCCGCACCAGGACAGGACGATGGCTTTCTTCCCATCCTCCTCACTTAGGACAGGACGGGGTGGGCACAGGGACCCATCCAGCAAGTTATTATTTTTGTAGTTATTAAGATAGAAAGTATAGGCCGGGCATGGTGGCTCACACCTGTAATCCCGCCTCAGCCTCCCAAAGTGCTGGGATTACAGCGGTAAGTCATCATGCCCAGACGATTATTTTTTATTTGTATACGTTTATGGGGTACAAGTGTAACTTTATTGCATGGATAGATTCCAAAATGATGAAGTTAGGGCTTTCAGGTATCCACTAACCCAGTGACACACATTGTATCCATTAGATAATTCTTTTTTTTTGATGGAGTCTTGCTCTGTGACCCAGGCTGGAGTGCAGTGGCGTGATCTCAGCTCACTGCAACCTCCGCCTCCCGGGTTCAAGCGATTCTCCTGCCTCAGCCTCCTGAGTAGCTGGGACTATGGGCGTGTGCCACCACGCCCGGCTAATGTATCCATCATCATAACACACAACCATTTGAATGAATCTCACAGGCATTGTGCTGAGTGAAAAAGGTCACCCTCAGAAGGTGAGGCGATGGACGATTCCATTTATACAAGAGTCTCAAAGTGACAAAGTGATAGAGACGTAGAACAGATTAGCAGGTGCTAGGGTGGGAGAGCGATTATAAAGGGGCAGCATGAGGGAGTTCCTACGTGGTGGTGGGACAGTTCTGTGTCTTGATTGTGGCGGTGGTTCTATAAAGCCATACATACAGGCAATAAAATGTTACAGAACTATACCCATAGGCAAAGAAAAGGGAGGAGGAAAAGAAGGTGGAAGAGGAGGAAGAGCAGGAGAAAAGAAGGAAAAGGAGAAAAGGAAATAGAAATAGAAGGAAGAGGAAGAGAAAAAGAGAAACGAATTATGCACAAACTGGTGAGATCTGAGTGACCTCTGGAACCTGGTTAAACGTGTGATGCCAGTGCAAAGTCTCTGGTTTTGAAAATGTGCCATACGCCGGGCGTGGTGGCTCACGCCTGTAATCCCAGCAGTTTGGGAGGCCGAGGCAGGCGGATCGCCTGAGGTCAGAAGTTCGAGACCAGCCTGGGCAACATGGCAAAACCTCGTTTCTACTAAAAAGAACAAAAAAAATTAGCCAAGAGTGGTGGCGGACACCTGTCATCCCGGCAACTCGGGAGGCTGAGGCAGGAGAATCGCTTGAACCCGGGAGGCAGAGGTTGCAGTGAGCCAAGATTGTGCCACTGCACTCCAGCCTGGCTGACAGAGATTCTGTCTCAAAAAAAAAAAAAAAAAAAAAAAGTACTGTAATTATAAGAGATTACCATTGGCCGGGCACAGTGGCTTATGCCTGTAATCCCAGCACTTTGGGAGGCTGAGGTGGGCGGGTCACTAGAGACCAGGAGTTCAAGACCAGCCTGGCCCACATGGTGAAATCCCATCTCTACAAAAAATTAGCTGGGTGTGGTGGTGCATGCTTGTAATCCCAGCTACTTGGGAGTCTGAGGCAGGAGAATCCTTAAACCCATGAGGCAGAGGTTGCAGTGAGCCGAGATCGCGCCACTGCACTCCAGCCTGGGTGACAGAGCAAGACTCTGTCCCCCCCGCCCCCCAAAAAAAGGTTAACATTGTGGGGAGCTGGCTAGTGGGTACACGGAAGCTATAAAGCTATAGGTATTAATGTTTGTTTGTTTGCTTGTTTGAGACAGTTTCACCGTTGTTGTCCAGGCTGGAGTGCAGTGGCACAATCTTGGCTCACAGCAACCTCCGCCTCCTGGGTTCAAGCCATTCTCCTGTCTCAGCCTCCGGAGTAGCTGGGATTACAGGCATGCGCCACCATGCCTGGCTAATTTTGTATTTTTAGTAGAGACGGGGGTTTCTCCATTTTGGTCAGGCTGGTCTTGAACTCCCGACCTCAGGTGATCCGCCCGCCTCAGCCTCTCAAGGTGCTGGGATTACAGGCGTGAGCCACCGCGTCCGGCCGGTATTAGTGTTTTAAAATAAAAAATTACATTTACAGAAAACTCTTGGCAGAACTTCAGATAAGGTAGGACAGAGCTCGGGCGGGTGGGGCCACACACACCGGATTCATGGGGAAGAAGTTATCATCGACGGCTTCTTGTTTCCTGAGTCGGTTGTGAGAAGGAAACTGCAAGAGTGGGGCAGAGAACCAGAGTGTCAGAGCAAAACCTCCTCTATCTGCACATCCTGGGGACGAACCGGGCAGCCGGAGAGCTGCGGCCGGCCCAGTCCCGCTCCGCCTTTGAAGGGTAAAACCCAAGGCGGGGCCTTGGTTCTGGCAGAAGGGACGCTATGACCGCAGAATTCCTCTCCCTGCTTTGCCTCGGTGAGTCTCCAGGACTGGGACGAATGGGCTTGGGCTGGTGAGAAAAACTCATGTGGGAGTGGCAGTCCAGGTGGAAATGCGGTGTGTGGAAGTAATGACTTCCAGGTGTTGCACACCTGCGGTGGGTGGGTCTGGGCTGTGGGTTCTGTGAGTTCTGCCGCCCACATGCAAGCGAGGAGGAGGCCGCGCTGCAGAGACACGGGGACAGACTCCGCTGGGAAAGGCAGAGCTGCTGTGGGGTCTCCGAGTCTGCAGCCGCTAAATACCGCAGTACTGCCATCATCCTCCGTCGGAATAGAGGAGGGCTGGGCTTAGGGATCTACAGGGTGCAAGGCTGTGGGCAAAAAGACAATTTTCTTCTCTCTCTCTCTTATTTATTTATTTATGTATGTATGCATTTATTTATGAGACAGAGTCTCACTCTGTAGCCCAGGCTGGAGTGCAATGGCGTGATCTGGGCTCACTGCAACCTCCGTCTCCCAGGTTCAAGCGATTCTCCTGCCTCAGCCTCCCGAGTAGGTGGGACTACAGGTGCAGGCCACCACACCCGGCTGACTTTTGTATTTTAAGTAGAGACGGGGTTTCACCATGTTGGTCAGGCTGGTCTCGAGCCCCTGACCTCAGGTGATCCGCCCGCCTCAGCCTCCCAAAGTGCTGGGATTACAGGCGTGAGCCACCACACCTGGCCCCAAGAAGACAATTTTCTGACCAGCTCGATTCTTAGGCTGATTTTAACCATCCTCCAATTGAACCTGATGTATTCAGACAGAGCTCACACTGTGAAACGGATGACCTGGGTTATAATCTCGGCTTTACTACATAGAAACTCTAGGCTTGACCCAGCAGAGCTCCACCTCCCTAAGGCCCCAGTTCCTCCCTGGTGCACGGGGGGTGCGGTGGACATCGACGTGCTTCGTCTGCTTCAGTTCCTTCCTCCTTTTCTGGGTGCAGCCCTTCCTTGTGGGGTAATGCTCGTCTCCTACACACATTTGCACCTTAGATGAGCATTTTTTTTTTTTTTTGACAGAGTCTTGCTTTGTCTCCCAGGCTGGAGTGCAGTGGTGTGATCTCAGCTCACTGCAACCTCCACCTCCTGGGTTCAAGCGATTCTCCTGCCTCCGCCTCCCGAGAAGCTGGGATTATAGGCACACGCCACCACGCCTGGCTAATTTTTTGTGTTTTTAGTAGAGATGGGGTTTCACCATGTTGGCCAGGCTGGTCTCAAACTCCTGAACTCAGGTGATCTACCCACTTCAACCTCCTAAAGTGCTGGGATTACAGGTGTGAGCCACTGCACCCGGCTATTTGTGCCTTAGAGATGACTATCGGGTTCATACCCAAGCCTCCAGCTGCTGAGCACAGTAAGCTGGGCAACCAGGAGACTGACCTCATCCCCCAATGGCTGCCATACCAAAGTACTACAAGCCTGGTGGCTTAAAGGAATTAGAATTGCTTTAAGTTGGGGAGATGAGAAGTCTGAAACCAAGGTGTTTGCAATGTTGATTCCTTCTGAGAACTATGAAGGAGCGTCTGTTTTATGCCCCTCTTCTAGTGATGGCTGACAATTCTTGGCATTTTTTTTTTTTCTTGAGGCGGAGTCTTGCTCTGTCACCCAGGCTAGAGTGCAGTGGCATGATCTTTCTCACTGCAACCTCCACCTCCTGGGTTCAATCAATTCTCCTGCCTTAGCCTCCCAAGTAGCTGGGATTACAAGCATGGACCACCATGCCTGGCTAATTTTTGTATTTTTAGTAGAGACAGGGTTTCACCACGTTGGCCAGGCTGGCCTCGAACTCCTGACCTCAGGTGATCTGCCCGCCTCAGCCTCCCAAACTGTTGAGATTACAGGCGTGAGCCAGCGCTCCCGGCATTCTTTAACTTGTAGATGCATCACTCCAATCGTTGGCTCTGTTTTTTTTTTTCTTTTCTTTAGACAGGGTCTCACTCAGTTGCCCAGGCCGGAGTGCAGTGGTACCACCATAGCTCACTGCAGCCTCAACCTCCTGAGCTCAAGCAGTCCTCCCCGCAGCCTTCTGAGCAGCTAGGACTACAGGTGCACACCACCATGTTGGACTAATTAAAATAATTTCTGTTTTAGAGATGGGATCTTGCTATATTGCCCAGGCTAGTCTCCAACTCCTGGGCTCAAGCAATTCTCCTATCTTGGCATCCCAAAGCACTATGATTGCAGCCTGGCCTCTCTGCCTCTGTCTTCGCATGGCCGTCTTCCTTCTGTGTGTCTCTGTCTCTCTTTTTCTCTTCTTGTAAGTTATATTGGATTAGATACCCAGCCTACTCTAGTATGACCTCATCTTAGTTTAATTAATTACATCTGCAAAGATCAGACAATGCTATTTTCAAATAAGGTCACATTCGCAGGTCCTGGGAGTTACAACTTGAACTTCTCTTTTCAAGAAACACAAATCAGCCAGGTGTGGTGGCTCACGCCTGTAATCTCAGGACTTTGGGAGGCCCAGGCGGGCAGATCTCTTGAGGTCAGGAGTTTGAGACCAGACTGGCCAACATGGTGAAACCCCGTCTCTACTAAAAATACAAAAATTAGCTGGGCATGGTGGCAAGGACCTGTAATCCCAGCTACTCGGGAGGCTGAGGCAGGAAAATCGCTTGAACCTGGGAGGCAGAGGTTGCAGTGAGCTAAGATAGCACCGCTGCCCTCCAGCCTGGGTGACAGAGGGAGACTCCATGTCAAAAAAAAAAAAAAAAAAAGAAAAGAAAAAGAATATGGGAATTGGGCTGGGTGCAGGTAGCTCACACCTGTAATCCCAGCATGTTGGGAGGCCAAGGTGGGAGAATCACTTGAACTCAGGTGTTCGAGACCAGCCTGGGCAACATCGTGAGTCCTCATCTCTACAAAAAAATTTTAAAATCAGCCAGCGTGGTGGTGCATGCCTGTAGTCCCAGTTATTTGGGAGGCTGAGATGGATGGATCACTTGAGCCCAGGAGGTTGAGGCTGCAGTGAGCTGTGACTGCACCCTGGCACTCCAGCCTGGGCCACAGAGTGAGACCCTGTCTCAAAAAGAAAAAAGAATATAGGAATCACTGTTTGAACAGACGATGGGTGGATAGCAGAGATGAGATGACATGAATCTAAAAGCGGGATTTGGGGAGGGTCTCAAAACAGAGCCTGAGTCCTGGGATGCCCTGCCCACCCAGAGGCTGTTTCCTACCTGCCAATCCCAGCTAATCTCGCTGCCAACGCAGCTTCGGTCCATCGTGAGGCCTCCACCTCATTCCTCTGTGGTGAAGCTTGGTGGGGGGTCACGTTCTGTATCGGCACCTGTGTCAACAAGGAACCAATGTCCTGAGACACTGTCGTGGCTCTAGAGAATTTCTACCTAAATTCTACGTAACTTCACCCTGAAACAAGCCCCATGACTGACATCCCATTTTCCACCCAAGTTTAAGACGCTACCTTCCCAGCGGGGAATGTAGAGAACAGAACACAGAAGAGGGAGGGGATAATGTAAGTGGAAACCAAAGCTAAAGTGAGGAGAGTATTTGGGACCAGAAGACACGGGGAAGGGGGAGCAGATTCTCTCTATTGGAATTGAGCAAGAAAACCCTCCTCTCGGCCGGGCGCGGTGGCTGATGCCTGTAATCCCAGCACTTTGGGAGTCCGAGGCGGGTGGATCACGAGGTCAGGAGATCAAGACCATCCTGGCTAACACAGTGAAACCCCGTCTCTACTAAAAATACAAAAAAATTAATTAGCTGGGCTTGGTGGCGGGTGCCTGTAGTCCCAGCTACTCGGGAGGCCGAGGCAGGAGAATGGCGTGAACCCGGGAGGCAGAGCTTGCGGTGAGCCGAGATCGCGCCACTGCACTCCAGCCTGGGTGACAGAGCGAGACTCCATCTCGAAAAATAAAAAAAAAAAAAAAACCCACCACTCTCACTCCACGATAAAATAACCTTTGCATTATTTAAGTGGCAAGGGTAAAACTGCAATCAGGCCGGGCACGGTGGCTCATGCCTGTAATCCCAGCGCTTTGGGAGGCTGAGGCGGGTGGATCACTTGAGCTCAGGAGTTTGAGACCAGCCTGGGCAACATGGTGAAACCCCATCTCTACAACAACAACAACAAAAATTAGCTGGGCACGATGGCACACACCTGTAGTCCCAGCTACTCTGGAGCCTGAGGTACGAGTATCACTTGAACCCAGGGGGTGGAGGAGGTTGCAGTGAGCTGAGACTGCACCACTGCACTCCAGCCTGGGTGACACAGCGAGACTCTGTCTCAAAACAAAACAAAACACTGCAATCACAGAAAATACCAGAAAAAAGCATAGGTGAATGTTGAACAATTTCTAGATGGTGAAAGGATTACTCATGAAAGCAATTCAATACATCAGAAAAGGTTGCTGGGCCGGGGGCAGTGGCTCACGCCTGTAATCCCAGCACTTTGGGAGGCCGAGGCGTGTGGATCACCTGAGGTCAGGAGTTCAAGACCAGCCTGGCCAACATGGTGAGACCCTGTCTCTACTAAAAATGCAAAAATTAGCCAGGTGTGGTGGCGGGTGCCTGTAGTCCCAGCTACTCGGGAGGCTGAGGCAGGAAAATTGCTTGAACCTGGGAGGCGGAGGTTGCAGTGAACTGAGATCATGTCATTGCACTCCAGCCTGTGCAACAGAGCAAGACTACATTTCAAAAAAAAAAAAAAAAAAAGAAAGAAGAAGTTGCTGGAATTTTCTCCATACACGTAGCTTCTGAATGACAAACAATGGAACAAAAGTAAGAGGTAAGTCTGGGGAGATATCTGCCAAAAATATATACATATATGTAATACATATATTTAATATATATATTATATTTATATATGTATTATATGTAATATGTGTACATATACTTAATACATTTATTATATATAATACATATATACATTATATATATATATATATCTCAGACCTATAAAGAGCTAGTCATACGTTCTCTGCTGGATTTGTACTCAAGGACAAGCACATAATTTTTCTCTCATTGAGATTTCTCTTCCAGGGCTGTGTCTGGGCTACGAAGATGAGAAAAAGAATGGTGAGTTTTCTCCTACTTAAACTTTTATTCCTGCATCCCACGCTTCATGACCTTTTCCTTTAATCGTCTGAATTCTAGACTCAAATTAACTCTGAATTGTTTCCAGAGAAACCGCCCAAGCCCTCCCTCCACGCCTGGCCCAGCTCGGTGGTTGAAGCCGAGAGCAATGTGACCCTGAAGTGTCAGGCTCATTCCCAGAATGTGACATTTGTGCTGCGCAAGGTGAACGACTCTGGGTACAAGCAGGAACAGAGCTCGGCAGAAAACGAAGCTGAATTCCCCTTCACGGACCTGAAGCCTAAGGATGCTGGGAGGTACTTTTGTGCCTACAAGACAACAGCCTCCCATGAGTGGTCAGAAAGCAGTGAACACTTGCAGCTGGTGGTCACAGGTGAGAAGGGCAGATGTACTCTTTGATGCACACATTTCTTTGGTTTGGCTTTGCTTTTTTTTTTTTAAGACAGAGTCTTGCTGTGTCTCCCAGGCTGGAGTGCAGTGGCACGATCTCGGCTCACTGCAACTTCTGCCTCCTGGGTTCAAGCAATTCTCCCTCCTCAGCCTCCCGAGTAGCTGGGACTACAGGCGCCCGCCACCACGCCCAGCTAATTGTTTGTGTTTTTAGTAGAGATGGGGTTTCGCCATGTTAGCCAGGATGGTCTCCATCTCCTGACCTTGTGATCCACCTGCCTCCGCCTCCCAAAGTGCTGGGATTACAGGCATGAGCCACCGCGCCCGGCCTAATTTTTGTATTTTTAATAAAGATGAGGTTGTACCATATTGGTGAGGTTGATCTCAAACTCCTGACCTCAAGTGATCCATCTGCCTCGGCCTCCCAAAGGGCTGGGATTATAAACGTGAACCTCCACACCCAGCCTTTTTTTTTTTTTTGAGAGGGAGTCTTGCTCTGTTGCCCAGGCTGGAGTACAGTGGCATGATCTCAGCTCACTGCAACCCCCGCCTCCTGGGTTCATGCAATTCACCTGCCTCAGCCTCCCGAGTAGCTGGAACTACAGGGGTGCGCCACCACACCTGGCTAATTTTTGTATTTTAGTAGAGACAGGGTTTTACCATGTTGGCCAGGCTGATCTCGAACTGCTGACCTCAAGTGATCTGCCCACCTCAGCCTCCCAAAGTGCTGAGATTACAGGAGTGAGCCACTGCGCTCGGCTGCTTTTTTTTTTTTTGACAGAATCTCGCTCTGTCACCCAGGCAGGAGTGCAGTGGCATGAACACAATTCACTGCAGCCTCGACCTCCCAGGCTCAAGCGATTTTCCCACATCAGCCTCCCAAGTAGCTGGGAGTACAGGCAAGCACCACCATGCCTGGCTAATTTTTAAATTACTTGTTGAGACAGGATCTATGTTGCCCAGGCTGGTCTTGAACTCCTGAGCTCAGGTGATCCTCCTGCCTTGGCCTCCCAAAGTGCTGGGATTACAGGCGTGAGTCACCAAAGCCTGCCTGATGCACGTATTTCTTTTCCTGTCGTGGGACATGGCTGGGGAAGAAGGAATCTAGGAGACAAAAAGATAGATGCAGGCCAGGCACGGCGCGGTGGCTCATGCCTGTAATCCCAGCACTTTGGGAGGCAGAGGTGGGCAGATCACTTGAGGTCGGGAGTTCGAGACCAGCCTGGCCAACATGGTGAAACCTCACCTCTACTTAAAATACAAAAATTAGCTGGGCGTGGTGGCAGGCGCCTGTAATCCCAGCTACTAGGGAGGCTGAGGCAGGAAGAGAATCTCTTGAGCCCAGAAGGCAGAGGTTGTAATGAGCTGAGATTGTGCCACTGCACTGCAGCCTGGATGAAAGAGCAAGACTCCGTCTAAAAAAAAAAAAGAAGAAGAAGGATAGATGCAACACCTTCAATGTGGAAATGGGAACCGAATGTGGAGCAAGATTCTCATCAGAGATTCTGAGAGGGTCCCAATGATGTGGATGTGGGAGGGTGGTGTAGAATATGGTCAGTTAATAGAAAATTGGGGTATGGTAAGACTGACAGACCAAGTGATGATTGCCATGGAAAAGATGGTCTGTTACAGTTCCCAAGAGGAGGAGGAAGGCTATACTGGGGGGAGTATGTGGGGAAGCACCAGGGTCAATGAGGGGCAGAGGGAGGAGGAAGAACTGTGGACCAGAGCTTTGATTGTATTTTGTGGGGAGAACAAGATTAGAGTTGGCCAGGTGTGGTGGTTCATGCCTGTAATCCTAGCACTTTGGGAGGCCTAGGAGGGTGGATCACCTGAGGTCAGGAGTTTGACATCAGCCTGGGTAACATGGCGAAACTCCATCTCTACAAAAATACAATAATTACCTGGGTGTGGTGGTGTGCACCTGTGCTTTCAGCTACTCGGGAGGCTGAGGCACGAGAATTGCTTGAACCCCAGAGGCAGAGGCTGCGGTGAGCCAAGATCGTGCCACTGCACTCAAGCCTGGGTGATAGAATGAGAACCTGTCTCAAAAAAAAAAAAAAAAAAAAAAAAAGAAAAGAAAAGAAAAGAAAGAAAGAAAAGAAAAACAAAAAAAGAATTGGCTTTGGGGTGTAGAGGCTGTCCCTGGTTGTCTAGTTCTTGGACCTGGGGTGATTAGGAGAGGACAACATTGACCTTGAGTGTGAGAGCCCCATAATTAAGGTGGTTGAGAGTATGGGCTCTGGATCTATTGGCTTGCATTTGAGGGACATCCTTGAGGACAAGTTGTTTACTGGCTCTAGAAATTAACTAACCCTGCGAGGGGAGGTCCCACCAAGGGCAGCAAGGCCCCAAGATGTTAAAGCATCAAATGCAGAAGATGAAAGACATGGTTAATACGGAGAGATGGATGAGATAGTCCCCAAGTGCAGTAGAAAATGGAAAAGCCCTGGCCCTTCTCTTTACCTCCATTGCCTTGTCCTCTTCAGGATCACTCCCAGAACCTTTGCTCTCAGTCAATGTAGACCCTGGGATGACTCCAGGTCTCAGGACACTTCGATGTCTCACTCCATACAATGGAACCGAATGTATTGTAATTGCTCTGTTGAAAATGGGGATCCCAGAACCATTACAAGTCAGGCAAGTAAGAAAAAACCAGACTGATTTCATGCTCTGGAACGTGACAAGTAATGACAGTGGAAACTACAGCTGTGTGTATTACCTGAGCAACTCATCACACTTGGCCTCCTTCCCCAGCAACAAGCTGGAGATCTGGGTGACAGGTGAGGATAGAGTGATAACACTGGCATTTGACATGTATCCAGCATTTTCTATGTTCCTGTCTCCACGACAGGTAACTTGCCTCCACTAACTCATTCAGTCTTCACTTCCTATGAGGGTGGTTGTGTTACTAACTTCTTTTTGCTCATAGAGATTAGGTGACCTCCCCGGTGTCACAAAAACAATGAGCTTCACAGTTGCTATTCAGACATAAATGAAAATTTATATTTCATTATGCCAGAGAAGGAAAGCCAGAAAGAGTGTCCAGTGCTCTATGAGGGATGTAGGAATGGCAAATAATGGATTGTGGGGCTAAGAGATCCCATTGTGTGGAAAAGTATGGGAGGCACGGTGCAGGTAACTGAAAAAAAAATGATGAGGACCACAGTGAGAAGATGCACGTGGGAGGATTGTAACATACATGACTTGAGATCCCAAGGAAGAGGGATAAAGAATAATTTTGCATCACTTTCATCTACCCATTTATCTACTCACCCATCCATCTATCAATCTACCCACCCATCTATCAACCCACCCACCCATCTACCCACCTACCAACCCATCCACCCTCCTACCCACTCATTCACCCATCCATCCACTCACTTATCCATCTATCCATCAACTCATCCATCCATCCATCCATCCATCCATCCATCCATTCATCTATCCATTAATCCATCCAACCACCAACCCTTCCATTCATCTGTCCACCCACCCCTTCATCCATCT
This sequence comes from Homo sapiens, assembly GCF_000001405.40. NCBI lineage: Eukaryota > Metazoa > Chordata > Mammalia > Primates > Hominidae > Homo > Homo sapiens. The sequence continues at coordinate 29,145 of NW_003571059.2, read as the reverse complement.
ATCTACCTACCTACCCATCTATTTACCCAGCCACTCATTTGTCCATCCTTCCACCCATTCATCCACTCATCCACCCTTTCACCCATTCACTCACCCCCACCCACCTATCCATCTATCCATCCATCCATCCATCCATCCATCCATTCATCCATTCATTTATTAGTCACTAAACAATACCTCTCAACTGACCACAGTTGCTTCCAGTAGGTCAGTCCTGCCATATCATGGGAAATCCCTGGAGAGACTTTACAGTCATCAGTGTAGTGTAGAAGTAGCCGTGGGTCCACACCAATGACTTAGCCTGGGCTTGGGGCATGATGAGTAACTGAATACTTAATGTTTCACCTCTGATTTACCCTCTTTCTGAGGCTCTTGATCAATGATACTCCAACAAGGTGCTCATCACTTTGATATTGATTTCAAATTGTATTCCCCATAACTCGTTCTTGTAGTCTTAAGAATTTCTGCACCCACACTTTAGCCCTAAAAGCCTCGCGATTATTTGCCATTTCCCAATTATGTTCTCTGGCATATCATCTACTGTTTCCTGATTTCTTCACCTCTATCGCAGCTGTACCATTACATCACAAGACAGGCTATAGTATCAATTTCCAGTGGTTGATTTTCCAGGTCAGCCTTCCATATACAATCTGTTTGCTGCTTTGCAAATCACTTTATTATACTACTTTTTACTTTTTTATTATACTACTTTTTACTTATTACAAAATGGGCATATAAATGCTTCCATTACAAAAAAAAATTAATGCAAAATACCTGGCACAAAAATAGCTGCCCATTCACCCTACAAATTCAGATACTTTGGTAGATCCTGAGCATATTGTAGGAACTGAGACAGACCAGGTCTCTGGCCAACAGGAGCTCACATTCTTCTTTGGAAGAAAGAAAGAAATAAGAGCAAGCTATCAGAGTAATTAAAAAACACATTATAGATGGAGAATAACTGTGAGAGGCATTGTATTAGTGATCTACAGCTGCATAACAAATTACCACTAATTTAGCAGCCTGAAACACCTATTTATTATCTCACAGTTGATGTGGGTCAGGAGTCCAGGCACAGCTTAGCTGAGTCCTCTGCTTTGGGTCTCATAAGGATGCAATCAAGGTGTCAACAAGGGCTGTGTTCTCATCTGGCTCATCTGGAGGCTTGACTGGGGAAGGGTCCATTTCTCCACTCCTGTGGTTGATAGCAATATCTGGTTCTTTATAGCTGTAGGATTCATGCTAGAATGATTCTGCAGCACTTGCAAGAAGAGAGATTGAGAGAGAGAGAAGAAAGAGAGAGCAAATGCCCTAGCAAACAGAGTTTTATGTAATGTAACATAATCAAGAGCATAACATCCCATCACCTTTGCCATAGCTATTGGTGAGAAGAAAGTCACAGATCTCCACACTCAAGGTGAGGGGATTAGACAAAGGCATGAACACCAGGAAGCAGGGCTCCTGAGTCTCCTGAGTGCCCCCTTAGGGTCTATCTGCCACAAGCATGAAGGATGAGAATGACCCAACCACACCGATATCTGGAGAACAGCCCTCCAGGGAGAGAGAGCAGCAAAAGCAAAGTCTCAGAAGTGTGAGTGTTCCTGGAATGATTGAGACACAGAAAGGAGGACATAAGGCAGGGCCTAGAGCATCTAGGATCTTGTGGGTGTTTGAACTGGTCCTAGAGTCTGCTTTGAAAGAACAGGAACCCACTGATGAAGTTGAGCTGGAGGATGGCATGATTTTATTTATATGCTGGAAGGGTCACTGGCTGCTTTTTTTTTTTTTTTTTTTTTTGAGACAGGGTCCCACTCGGTTGCCCAGGCTGGAGTGCAGTGGTGCAATCACAGCTCACTGCAGCCTTGACCTCCCAGGCCCAGGTAATCCTCCCACCTCAGCCTCCCAAGCATCTGAGATTACAGGCACAGGCCATCATGCCCGGCCTCTGGCTGCTTTTGGAAAATAAGGGACTAGATGTAGTAAGAGTTGGTGCGTTTCAGGCAATACGACTTTTTAAATTTAAAAATATCAAATTGACAAATGAAGATTGTATATATTCAAGGTATACAATCTGATGATTTGATCCACCTGTACATTGTGTAATGATTATCACAGTCAAATTAATTAGCACATCCATTGCCACCATGCTGAGCACCTGAACTTCTTCATCTTAGAACTGGAAACTTATACCCTTTCATCAACATCTCCGCATATATCATGCTAAACAAAATAAGCCAGACTCAGAAAGACAAATTCTGCAGGATCTCACTCATATGTGTAGTCTAAAAAAGCCAAACTCACAGAAGCAACTGGTGGTTGCCAGGGACTGGTGAGTAGGTGATATTTCATTTCATTTTTATTTTTATTTTTATTTTTTTTTTGAGACGGAGTCTGGCTCTGTCCCTCAGGCTGGAGTGCAGTGGCGCGATCTCGGCTCACTGCAAGCTCCGCCTCCCGGGTTCACGCCATTCTCCTGCCTCAGCCTCCCGAGTAGCTGGGACTACAGGGGCCCGCCACCACGCTCGGCTAACTTTTTGTATTTTTAGTAGAGACGGGGTTTCACCATGTTAGCCAGGATGGTCTCGATCTCCTGACCTTGTGATCTGCCCGCCTCGGCCTCCCAAAGTGCTGGGATTACAGGCGTGAGCCACTGCGCCCGGCCAAGTAGGTGATATTTTAACTTAGACTAAATGGTGCCACTGTGGAGATAGAAATATAGGCCAGGTGCAGTGGCTCATGCCTGGAATCCCAGTATTCTGAGTGGCCAAGGCAGGTTGATCACTTGAGGCCAGGAGTTTGAGACCAGCCTGGCCAACATGGTGAAACCCTGTCTCTACTAAAAATACAAAAATTAGCAGGGTGTGGTGGCGGGCGCCTGTAGTCCCAGCTACTTGGAAGGCTGAGGCAGGAGAATCTCTTGAACCCGGGAGGCGGAGGTTGCAGTGAGCTGAGATCATGCCACTGCACTCCAGCTTGGGTAACAGTGCAAGACTCAAAAAAAATAAAAGAAAGAAAGAATTTGGGTGAATGGTGTTCTTTGTCAAGATAGAGAAGACTGGCAAGGAATCAAACTGGAGGGGGCGTTAGCAGGGTCATTCATAAATATTTTTGTTATTAAAAATACTATCAAACTCCAGGACTATTAAGAAGAGTAATCTGAGGCTCTGTCCATGCTCTGAGGACCCAGGGAGCATCTAGGGAATGGAGAAGCCATTCTCTTTTCTGCTTCCCAAAGAAGAACAGGATGTCTATAAGTAGGACGTGAGGACTCCTGTCCCCAAGGTTCCTGTATGATTAGTGTAATTCCTTTTCTTCCCTCCTATTTTCTAGATAAACACGATGAACTTGAAGCTCCCTCAATGAAAACAGGTAAGATAATTAGAAAGGAGATGTTTTTCCCAATGAGATCTGCTTCATGATCACCTTTGCTTAAAGTGCACAAGGAGAACTTTATTTATTTGTTTGTTTGTTTGTTTGTTTGTTTTTTGAGATAGAGTCTCGCTTTGTCACCAAGGCTGGAGTACAGTGGCGCAATCTCAGCTCACTGCAACCTTCGCCTCCCGGATTCAAGCAATTTTCCTGCCTCAGCCTCCCGAATAGCTGGGACTACAGGCACGCACCACCACACCCAGCTAATTTTTGTATTTTTAGTAGAGACGGGGTTTCACCATGTTGGCCAGGCTGGTCTCGAACTCCTGACCTTGTGATCTGCCCGCCTCAGCCTCCCAAAGTGCTGGGATTACAGGCGTGAGCCACCGCACACGGCCTATTTATTTTTTTGAGAAAGAGTCTTGTTCTGTCCCCCAGGGTGGCGTGAAGTGGCACAATCTCAGCTCACTGCAACCTCCACTTCCTGGGTTCTGGGTTCAAGCAATTCTCCTGCCTCGGCCTCCCGAATAGCTGGGATTACAGGCACCCACCACCATATCCAGCTCAGTTTTGTTTTTTGTTTTTTGTTTTTAGTAGAGATGGGGTTTCACCATGTTGGCCAGGCTGGTATCAAACTCCTGACCTCAAGCAATTCCCCCGCCTCGGCCTCTCAAAGTGTTGGGATTACAGGCATGAGCCACCGCACCCGGCCTAGAAGAACTTTAAAGCCCATTTTCTCAATGTTATTGGGGAAACTGCTGTGTTTTGGGGGGTGGAGGATGAGGGGAGATAACCTCTAAAGTGCTTCCGGGTTCTGAAGAAGCTGGTGTGTAAAACAGCACAGAGTGCGTTGTTTGCCATATGACATGATGAAAAACTAGGGTGGGATTTGGGGAATAATGGGGGTGAATTTTTCAGTGACCCATTTGGGGAGTAGGACCAGGACCTACGCAGAGTAGGTACTTCAGGAATATATATAATCAAGAGTTTGTTATAACTCTAAAATTCTCAAAAATAGGTGAATATTGAATTTTTTTTCTAATGTTGCTTATTCATTAACAATTGACTAAGATTCTGTCCTCAGAGTTTCTCATAAAAATTAGAGCTTTTGGGCCAGGCGAGGTGGCTCACATCTGTAATCCCAGCACTTTGGGAGGCCGAGGTGGGCGGATCACCTGAGGTCAGGAGTTCGAAACCAGCCTGGGCAACATGGTGAAACCCTGTCTCTACTAAAAATACAAAAATTTGCTGGGCATTGTGGTGGGCGCCTGTATTCCCAGCTACTCAAGTGACTGAGGCAGGAGAATTGCTTGAACCTGGGAGGCAGAGGTTGCAGTGAGCCGAGATTACACCACTGCCCTCCAGCCTGGGCAACAGAGTGAGACTCTGTCTCCAAAAAAAAAAAAAAAAAAAAAAAATTAAAAAGTTAGAGCTTTTGGCAGCATTCGGCTGAAACAGGAACTCATCCAGACTTTAAGGGCCAAATGCAGAATATAAATTGGCATCTAGATGCTTAATCATCCTTCCTTTCAGCAAGTCATAATCTTCCTGCAACCTACTCCAAAGAGCCAAAGTTGCTGAAGGTTGTTGCTAGCAGTCTGTGCTGGTATAATCGGTTTTCAAAAAGGTATCCTCCAAAGTGTTCTTGCAAGATAACTATTTGAAACGTTTTTATTCCATGATAGTAGGCTTGGGAAATGTCTGCTACCCTAGCACTACGAACACAATTCACGTCAGGAACGTTTTCTGAGAAAGATATGAAATCTAATGGGAGAGAGGAACACAGAAGTATCAGAAACGAGGTGGGAGATCTAGTGAGGTGTGAGGGGGAGGAGGAAGAGAAGCTTTTCTATTTTGAGCTCTTGTATCATTTATTTTCTTTCTTTTTTTATTGATATATAATTCACAGTCCAAAAATTCACCCTTGTAAAGTGTCCAATTCACTGGCATTTTGTATCTTCATGAGGTAGTATAACCATCACCACTACATAATTCCAGAACATTCTCATCACCCTAAAAGAAAATCTTGTACCCATTAAGCAGTCACTCCTCATTTCCCACTTTCCCACCAGGCCCTTCCAACCATTCATATGCTTCTCTGTGTCTATGATTTTGTCTATTCTGGACATTTTGTGTAAGTGGATTCATACACTATGTGATCCTTTGTGACTAGCTCCTTTCTCTTTAGCATAATGTTTTCAAAGTTTGTCTGTACTGTAGCATGCATCAATGTTTCATTTCTTGTCATGGTGAAAAGCATCGTATTGTATGGATAGACCACATTTTGCTTATCCATTCTTTTTTTTGTTTTTGTTTTTGTTTTTTTGAGACGGAGTCTTGCTCTGTCGCCCAGGCTGGAGTGCAGTGGCACAATCTCAGCTCACTGCAACCTCCGCCTCCCAGGTTTAAGTGATTCTTTTGCCTTAACCTCCTGAGTAGCTGGACCTACAGGCGCCCGTCACCATGCCTAGCTAATTTGTGTATTTTTAGTAGAGAGGGGGTTTCACCATGTTGGCTAGGCTGGTCTCGAACTCCTGACCTCAGGTGATCCACACGCCTCAGCTTCCCAAAGTGCTGGGATTACAGACTTGAGCTACTGTGCCTGGCCCCGTTCTTCTTTTGATGGACATTTGTGTTGTCTGCACCTCTTGGCTAAAGCGAGTAATGGTGCTGGAACACTGTGGTAGGAGTATCTGTTTGTCTCCGCGCTGTAAATTATCTTGAGTATGTACCTAGAAGTGGATTTGCTAGGACATATGGTGACTATTATGTTCAACTTTTTGAGGAACTGCCAAATCATTTTCCATTGTGGCTGTATCATGTTATATTCCTTCCAGTAATATATGTGGGTTCCAATATCTCCACATCCTTGTCAACACTTACTTTTCTTTTTTTAAATTATAGCCATCCCAGTGGGTATTATATAATTTCTTAAAATGTACTTTTTGAGTTCAAATTTGTATCATCACAATTCTAAACAGAATAAAATATCTTTGCCGGGCGCAGTGGCTCACGTCTGTAATACCAGGACTTTGGGAAGATGAGGCAGGAGGATCACTTGAGCCCAGGGGTTCAAGACCAGCCTGGACAACTTGGTAAGATCCCATCTCTACAAAAAATACAAAAATTAGCCAGGCGTGGTGGTGTGCACCTGTAGTCCCAGCTACTTGGGAGGCTCAGGCAGAAAGATCGTTTGCGCCCAGGAGGTTGAGGCTTCAGTGAACTGTGATTGCGCCACAGCACTCCAGCCTGGGTGACAGAGCGAGACCCTGTTTCAGTAAATAAATAAAATAAAAGTAAAATATCTGTAAGCACAGGTATGATGTCCCCAGCCTGTATTTATATGCCTAAAACACACTAGAAAACGACTCTATGTTCAATCGCAATGTAGAGAATGAAGATGAATTTTATCACACAAGACTTGACTTTCTTTCTGGTGCCTGTGCCTCCATTTATGCCCCGTGTCAGGCTGTATCTTGTTGCTCACGCTGACTTTAGTAGCGTAGCAAGTTATGATTTATTCTGGCAATTTGCAAATACTGATGCAACATTTGGCCAGGATCTGTGGACATCTCAGGGTGAACCCAGTTCAGCTGATTATGGGGTCATATGAAGATGAGAATTTTGCAATAATGTACTTCTCATTTCTAGTGAATTGCTGTGTGAAAGATACCGTAGGCTGGAAAAGGGGAGAACAGAAAGGACAAGGCAAGGCTGCTGTTTCTCTGCTTCCATCTGGGGAAACTGAGAGTCCAGGAGCAGCTGTTCCTGCCCTGTTTTCATAAGTCCTTGGAGATGCACTGATAGAATTGTTGCTTATGGCCAGGCATGGTGGCTTATGTAATCCCAGCACTTTGGGAGGCCAAAGTGGGCAGAACACTTGAGCTCTGGAGTTTGAGACCAGCCTAACCAACATGGTGAAACCTCATCTCTACTAGAAATATAAAAAATTAGCGGGGTGAGGTGGCGGGTGCTTGTAATCCCAGCTCCTTGGGAGGCTGAGGCAGGAGAATTGCTTGAACCCCAGAGGGGGAGGTTCCAAAGCCGAGATTGTACCACTGCACTCCAGCCTGGGAGACAGAGTGAGACTGTCTCAAAAAAAAAAAAATTGTTGCTTTTGAGGGGTTCTCTGATTCAGCTCCACCAGAAGCAGGCTCTTAGACAGCATTAGTGTGAAAGTGACGTTTTATTTTATTTATTATTTATTTAGTTTTGAGACAGAGTTTCGCTCTTGTTGCCCAGGCTGGAGTGCAATGGCGTGATCTTGGCTCACTGCAACCTCCGCCTACCAGGTTCAAGAGATTCTCCTGCCTCAGCCTCCCAAATAGCTGGGATTACAGGCATGCACCACCACACCCAGCTAATATTCTATTTTTAGTAGAGACGGGGTTTCTCCATGTTGGTCAGGCTGGTCTCGAACTCCTGACCTCAGGTGCTCTGCCTGCCTCGACCTCCCAAAGTGCTGGGATTACAGGTGTGAGCCACCACGCCTGGCTTGAAAATTACATTTTAGGGAGTGGGGAAGAAGGGCTGGGAGGAAAATAGATTAAACAAGTGTGGGATATCTGTGTCCCTCAGATGGTATCTTTGGCTCCATCCTGCAGAAAGCAGTGGAGACAGAGAAGGTCGAAGACCAGAGGCTAGGGAGCTGGGGTCCCCACAGCCGTCAGTGGCAGTTTGTCCCGGGCATGTAAATTCCAAGGCATTTGGAGTTCTCCCAGGCAGTCCCCCAAAGAAGAGATACAAATGTTCACTTTGGAAAGGGAAAGAAGCCACGATCTAGAATGCATAAAAATGGGAAAGGGATCTGGGGAACATGGGTTGAGGAACATTGACAGAATCTATTACAGAGAGAGATGGGTGTAGGTGGAATATTGGGTGAAAAAAAATCATCATTATACCTACAATCCCATTATCCGACACAATGAGTCAGTTTCTAGACTGAGCGCTTTAAAGCCAGGATTTTTCATCATTACCTAACTCTTCAAGTTAGATATTATTAGCTCTCTGCCCCCTCCTTATATTTAACCAAAAAATAACGTATTCCAGAAAGGGAAGGGAACATTTACAAAGTCAGGAGGTAGGAGACCCAGTACTAGAACTCAAATATGTCTTGTTTCAAACTCCCCACTCCTTTTGCTGCTCCCTGATGATCAGCTCAGAAAGAACCTTATTTCAGGGAGGGGGATAGATAGATAATTAGATGTGATAGATAATAGGCAAGTAGGCAGATAAATAGATAACTAGATATGATAGATTAGATAGATACATAGATGATAGGTAGATAAGTAGCTAGATACGATGGACAGATTAGATAGATAGACAGATGATAGGTAAGTAGGTAGATAGATAACTAGATACAACAGGTTAGATAAGTAAGTAGATAGATAACTAGATATGATAGATTAGATAGATAAATAGACGATAGGTAAGTAGGTAGATAGATACAGATAGATTAGCTAGCTAGCTAGATGATAGATAACTAGATATAATAGATAAGATAGATGATTAGATAGACAGATAATTAGATATGATTGATAGATACATTAGATAGATGATAGATTAGATAGATAGATGATAGGTAACTAGGTAGCTAGATAAAGCTAGCTAGATAGATAGATAGATATACAGATACACAGATAGATACATAGATACCTAGATAGGTGATAGAGTTGCAAGATAGAAAAATTAGATAAGTAGGTGGATAGATAGATAGATAACTAGATAGAATAGATTAAATAGATAATAGTAGGTGAATAGACAGATACATACAGATGATAGATGATAGATGATAGATAACTGGTTATGATTGATAGATACATTAGATAGATGATAGATTTGGTAACTAGATGATAGGTAAGTCGGTAGATAGATAAGTGATAATTAGATATGATAGGATGGATAGATTAGACAGACAGCAGGTAAGCAGGTGGATAGACAGATAAAGATAGATACATAGATGCCTAGATAAGTGATAGATTAACAAGATAGAAAAATTAGACAGACAGATAGTTAATTACATATGATAGGATAGATAGATTGGATAGGTGATAGGCAAGTAGGTAGATAGATAAATCATAATTAGATAGGACGGATAGATTGGATAGATGATAGGTAAGTAGGTACAGAGACAGATAAAGATAGATAGGTAGATAGATAATAGATACCTAGACAGATGGTAGATAGATTAGCGAGATAGATAAATTAGATAGGTAATTCTCTATATATAGATATGTAGAAATGCCAATGCAAACATAGCGAACCAAGTAGGGGAAGCGTCTGGATGGGAGACCCTCTGTTGGTGCAGAGGACCAGGCGTGTGAAGCATCTCAGACTTGGCTCTGTAATGTGACCACAGATCATTGCACACCTAGGAAAAATTCTCAGACTCAAAGCACACTAACAAAGATAGCGGGGGTCTTGGTGAAGCCCCTTTCTGGGGCCTCACTTCTATAGTTGCTCAACTTTTTTCCTTAATCACGTTTCTGCTACTTACTCCTTAAAGTCTCACGACTTGTGTTTCTTGAATCTAAAGTGCCAAGAAAAACAAAAAACGGGGGGGAACTGCATGGACTCTGTCGCCTAGCTTTAGTAACAGGTTGCTCTCTCTTCCTCAACGCTGTGAGCTTTGGACACAACCCTTGCTGTAATCCCAGGAGTCACACGGGAATGCATGCCCTTCACCAGTGGGAGGGAAATAATTGTACTACCTTGCAGGGTTGTTGTTAAGACTTTAAAACGCTATGATGTAGACTTGCATGGCAATATTGCTCAAGAACTAGTTTTTTTTGTTTTGTTTTGTTTTTGTTTTTTAATTGGTAGAAATTTTATCTCCTGAGAGGGATGCTTTTTTGAGTTGGAGTCTTGGTCAGTTGAGTGTATGATGCAGTGATGCGATCTCGGCTCACTGCAACCTCCGCCTCCCAGGTTCAAGCAATTCTCTTCTCTCAGCCTCCTGAGTAGCTGGGACTACAGGCGTGCGCCACCATGCCCAGCTTATTTTTTATATTTTCAGTAGAGACAGGGTTTCACCATGTTGGCCAGGCTGGTCTCGAACTCCAGACCTCAAGTGATCCACCTACTTCACTCTCCCAAAGTGCCAGGATTACAGGCGTGAGCCACCGTGCCCGGCCACTGGTCATTCTTTTCTACCCTGCTCTAACCCTGTTCTTATTAGGAATCCTCCCTGAATTCTCCCAGCTGATCCCTTGTTCTGTGTCTTGGGGAATCATGTCTCCTTCAGAGAGCCCCACCCCTCCCCACTCTAAACGCCTTCCATGCCCGTGTCACTGCTGTTCATTACCTGGCATCAACGAGCTCATTGAAGTGTGTTTGAAGTTGGCTGGGCGTGGTGGTCTGTACTCCCAGCTACCCTGGAGGCCGAGTGAGGAGGACCACTTGAGCCCAGGAATTCGAGTATGATCACACCACTGCACTCTAGCCTGGGCAACAATGGGAACCCATTGGCACATCTGGGATTGGCATCCTGAGCTCCCATCTGTGACCTCCCTCCTCTCCCCTCCTCTCCCCTCCATTGCCCTCACCCTCTCCCCATAATCTTCACATCCCGTCCTTTCACATCTCTCTCTCTCCTTTAAAAAAAGAAAAAGGAAATATGTTTGAAGTTAAGAGCTGAGATCATGTCTGTGTTAGCCAGGGTTTTCCAGAAAAACAGAACCAATAGAACATATAGATATAAGCTGGGTGTGGTGGCTCACGCCTGTAATCCCAGCACTTTGGGAGGCCGAGGCAGGCAGATTGCCTGAGGTCAGTAGTTCAAGACCAGCGTGGCCAACATGGCGAAACCCCGTCTCTACTAAAAATACAAAAATTAGCCGGGCGTGATGGTGGGCACCTGTAATCCCAGCTACTCAGGAGGCTAAGGCAGGAGAATTGCTTGAACCCGGGAGGCGGAGCTTGCAGTGAGCCAAGATTGCACTATTGCACTCCAGCCTGGACGATAAGAGTGAGACTTTGTCTCAAAAAAAAAAAAGAGAACATATACATGTATATACATATATGGAGAGAGAGATTGATTTTAATGGATTGGTTCACGTGATTGTGGGGAGCTGGCAAGTCTGAAATCTGCAGGGCAGGCAGGCAGGGGATCCAGGGGAGACTTGATATTGCAGCTTGAGTCTGGAGGCAGAATTCCTTCCACCTTGGGGGACCTCAGTCTTTTCTCTTAAAGTCTTAAAGTCTTCAACTGATTGGATGAGGCCCACCCCTATGACAGTGGGTCATCTGCTTTACTCAAAGTCTATTGGTCGAAATGTCCAGCTCCAAGGAAGTTCCAGCTCCAAGGTGGGAGATCCAGGCTTGGAAGCCAGGCCATCTGTCTGGCTTCTCTTAGCTTTTCTACTCACCCCATCAGTGGATTTCAGACAGTGATTACACAGACAGATGTGGTGGCTCACGCCTGTAATCCCAACTACTCAGGAGGCTGAGTCAGGAGAATTGTTTGAACCAGGGAGGTGGAGGTTGCAGTGAGCCAGGATCACACTCCAGCCTGGGTGACAGAACACGACTCCATCTCAAAAAAAAAAAAGTGTGTATATATATATATATATGTATATATATATATATATATATATATATATATACACATTTATATATACACACACATATATATACATTTATATATATATATACACACACACACACGTATATATATATATGGAGCACCTGGAACAGAGCTGGCTCACAATAAATGATCAATATCATTGCTATGCACCAAACATTCCCTGGGAATTTTTGGAATTTCCTATGCGCCAAGCACTGTTCCAGCCCTTTCTATAGGTACTGACCCACCATCCAATAAAGTAGCTACTGCTGCTATCCTCACTTTACAGATGGGGAAACAGAAGCTTGGAGAAGATTAAGGAAATTCCCCAAAGCAATAGGAAGTTCCAGCTCCGAGGTGGGAGATCCAGGCTTGGAAGCCAGGCCATCTGTCTGGCTTCTCTTAGCTTTTCGGCTCGCCCCTATCAGTGGATTTCAGGAGCCAGGCTGATTCCCTGACCTGCTCTTCCCCCTCCAGACACCAGAACCATCTTTGTCGCCATCTTCAGCTGCATCTCCATCCTTCTCCTCTTCCTCTCAGTCTTCATCATCTACAGATGCAGCCAGCACAGTGAGCTCAGAGAACGCAAAGGGAGAGAGGGGGAGTGAAGGATTTTCTCGGTAGGTAAATTCCTCCTGCATTTTTTGTAGGTTCATCATCTGAGGAATCCACCAAGAGGTAGATGCTTGGCATAGCTCATGCTCCACTTATTCCCATGTCATTCTCAAGGGAACCCATTGGCACATCCGGGATTGGCACCCTGAGCCCCCACCCCAGCCCATTCTGTGACCTTCCTCCTCTCCCTTCTTCTCCCTTCCTCTCCCCTCCATTGCCCTCACCCTCTCCCCGAAATCTTCACATCCCATCCTTTCACGTGTGTCTCTCTCTTTCAGAACCAGCCATTCCAAACTTCCGGAGCAGGAGGCTGCCGGTAAGGGACAGGGGAAGTTTAAGGGAATCACCGGATAGAAAGACTAAGTTCTGACTTCTGCAGCTGAGAACTGATTTTTTTTTTTCCTTTCTCACTCAGAGGCAGATTTATCCAATATGGAAAGGGTATCTCTCTCGGTGAGTCCTCCCGCTTAGGAGTCCCACAAGAGCTCCCTCACCACAATGGGCTGGTCGTGTGTGCCTCCTGGTTAAGCCCATACAGAAATGTATACTGTTTATCACGCATGTGGTCTTAGACAAGTCACGAAACTCCCCTAATGGGAACCAAAATCTCCATTTAAAAGGCTTATGCATGGGCCGGGCGCGGTGGCTCACGCCTGTAATCCCAGCACTTTGGGAGGCCGAGGCGGGCGGATCATGAGGTCAGGAGATCGAGACCATCCTGGTTAACATGGTGAAACCCCATCTCTACTAAAGATACAAAAAATTAGCTGGGCGTGGTAGTGGGCGCCTGTAATCCCAGCTACTCAGGAGGCTGAGCCAGGAGAATGGCTTGAACCCGGGAGGCGGAGGTTGCAGTGAGCCGAGATCACGCCACCGCACTCCAGCCTGGGCGACAGAGCCAGACTCTGTCCCAAAATAAATAAATAAATAAAAATTTAAAAAAAATGAAAAAAGGCTTACGCAGATCCATTGATGTCACAGGCATAAAGGGTTATAAAAACAGAAAAGAAAAAGAAATGCATCTGGTGTGACCGAGGACCTGGGTTTTAAATTAAATTTAATTGTAATTAACTTAAATGTCAATAGCCATGTGTGGCTAGTGGCTGCCATATTGAACACTCAGTTCTAATATTCATCTATTTTCTCCAAAGACGGCAGACCCCCAAGGAGTGACCTATGCTGAGCTAAGCACCAGCGCCCTGTCTGAGGCAGCTTCAGACACCACCCAGGAGCCCCCAGGATCTCATGAATATGCGGCACTGAAAGTGTAGCAAGAAGACAGCCCTGGCCACTAAAGGAGGGGGGATCGTGCTGGCCAAGGTTATCGGAAATCTGGAGATGCAGATACTGTGTTTCCTTGCTCTTCGTCCATATCAATAAAATTAAGTTTCTCGTCTTAAAAAGAAATCTGACTTATTTATGGATTATTCATGCCCAAGAACCCCACCATACTCTTTCTACCCCACATTTCCTCCTAGAACAATTCAAGGAAATAATAAATAATGATTGACCAGCTATCCAGGAAAGAATGTAAGAATTACTGAGCATCTCCAGGAAGCACAACAAGCAAAAAAGAAAACGGCCGGGCTCACGCCTGTCATCCCAGCACTTTGGGAGGCCGAGGTGGGTGGATCATCTGAGGTCAGAGTTCAAGACCAGCCTGACCAACATGGTGAAATCCCATCTCTACTAAAAATAAAAAATTAGTTGGACGTGGTGGCAGGCGCCTGTAATCCCCGCTACTTGGGAGACTGAGGCAGAAGAATCGCTTGAACCCAGGAGGCAGAGATTGCAGTGAGCTGAGATGGCGCCATTGAATTCCAGCCTGGGCAATGGAGTGAGACTCCATCTCAAAAAAAAAAAAAAAAAAAAACAAAAAACGCCCAGAGCTGCAAACTCCTAGACCAGAGGGCAGAAAACAAAAGGACCAGAGAGTAACACGTCCAGCTTTGTGGGCTGTAGGATCTCTGCTGAGACTACCCCACTCTGCTGTTGTACCATGAAAGCAGCCATCGCTGATATGTAAACAAGTAGGTGTGGCGGTGTTAGAATAAAACTTTATTTACAACTTCATGTTCTCACTCATGTAGGAGCTAAAAAAGTAGATCTCATGAAGGTAAAGAGAGAGTCAGTTATCAAAGGCTAGAAGGGGTGGGATAGTTAATGGGCACAAACACAGTTGGATAGAAGGAATAAGTTCAAGTGTTCAATAGCACAGAAGGGTGACTATAGTTAACAGCAATATATTGTATATTTCAAAATAGCTAGAAGAGAAGATTTGAAACATTCCCAACACAAACGATAAATGAGCCAGGTGCAGTGGCTCACTCCTGTAATCCCAACACTTTGAGAGGCCAAGATGGGTGGATCACCTGAGGTCAGGAGTTCAAGACCAGCCTGGCCAACAAGGTGAAACCCCATCTCCACTAAAAATACAAAAATTAGCTGGGTGTGGTGGCGCACACCTGTAATCCCAGCCACTTGGGAGGCTGAGGCAGAAGAATTGCTTGAACTCGGGAGGCAGAGGTTGCAGTGAGCCAAGATCACACCACTGTACTCCAGCCTGGGCGACAGAGAGAGACTCTGTCTCGAAAAGATAAAAAAAAAGATAAATGTTTGAGGTGGTGAATATCCTAAATACCCTAATTTGAGTATTATACATTCTGTGCATGTATCAAACTATCACATGTATGTCATAAATATGCATAAATATTATGTATCTATAGAAAGTTTTTTTTTTTTTGATGGAGTCTTGCTCTGTCGCCCAGGCGCCAGAGTGCAGTGGCGTGATCTCAGCTCGCTGCAACCTCTCCCCGCAGGTTCAAATGATTCTCCTGTCTCAGCCTCCTGAGTAGCTGGGATTACAAGCTTCTGCCATCACACCAGGCTAATTTTTTTGTATTTTTAGTAGAGATGGGGTTTCACCATGTTGGCCAGGCTGGTCTTGAGCTCCTGACCTCAAGTCATCCGCCTGCCTCGGCTTCCCATAGTGCTGGGATTACAGGCGTGAGCCACCGTGCCCAGCCCAGAAAGTTGTTTTAAAAACAAAAAATTTTATTTGCAAAAACAAGCTGTGGGCTCTAGCGTGCCAACCCTTGTGCTAGGCCAGTGCTTTTTAAAGTCTGCTTGGGCCATCACCCCAACCACTTCTGGCCCTGATGAGGGTCCAGGGCATGAGAGGGAAGGAGAGAGTGTCTTAGTCCATCCAGGCTGCTATCAACATACCAAAGACCTGGCAGCTTACAGACAACACATAGTTATTTCTCATGGTTCTGGAGGCTGGAAGTCCAAGACCAAAGCACTGGTAGATTCAGTGTCTGCTGAGGGCTTTTTTCCTGGTTCATAGCTGGCACCTTCTTGCTGTGTCCTTACATAGTGAAAGAGACTGGGCCGGGCGCAGTGGCTCACGCCTGTAATCTCAGGACTTTGGGAGACCGAGTGGGGGGCGGATCACCTGAGATCAGGAGTTCGAAACCAGCCTGACCAACACGGTGAAACCCCATCTCTACTAAAAATATAAAAATTAGCTGGGCGCAGTGGTGGGTGCCTGTCATCCCAGCTACTTGGGAGGCTGAGGCAGGAGAATTGCTTGCACCTGGGAGGCGGAGGTTGAAGTGAGCCGAAATCGTGCCACTGCACTCCAGCCTGAATGACAGAGCCAGACTCCATCTCAAAAAAAAAAAAAAAAAAAAGAGTGAAGGCTTAATAAGCAAAAGAAAGAGAAAAGAGAATAGTTCTCTCTTTTGCACAGAGAAGAGAGGGGTTCCCGAGTGGGACCCCTGGTTTTGTGGTGAAATGCATGGGGCTTTTATAGACAAGCTTGAGGAGGTGCTGTCTGATTTACATAGGGCCTGAGAGATTAGTCGGACCAGGTATGACGTTTGCATAGCCCCCAAAGAAGCTGGCCATCCCACCCTAATCTTTTATTACGTAGGTAGGGTCTCTGCCTGGCCGGGGCCATGTTGTCTGCTTTTTTACTGCACATGTGGGGACAAAGAAAAGGGAAGAGGGAACCTCCATGTTGAATATACCCGGCTCCCAGGCATCCGTTTTCTATTGGCACAGCTGATGCAAGATTTTAGCTTGTTTATCTATGCTTGCAGCTTGATGTTTCAGGCTGCTTTCTGTTAGAAAAGAAATTATTTGGGGGCTGCTCTTTATTAATAGGAAACCTTACTGAGGACTCTCTTACCCTCACTGTCTGCCTCAATAATTTCTTTTTAGCTCCCGTATTACAAATACCATCACCTTGGGGTTAGGTTCCAACAGCTGAATTTTGTCGGGACACAAACATTGAGTTTACAATACCCATGAAGCTGTCTCTGCTTGTATCTTGTCCTAACCAGAAGCTCCCAGGATTGCTGCATCTGAAGGAACAACCTTGATATATGGCTTGTGTCTGTGTCCCCACCCAAATCTCATCTTCAGTTGTAGCTCCCATAATTCCCATGTGTTGTGGGATGGACCCAGTGGGAGATAATTCAATCATGGGGGTGGATTCCTGCAGGGTCCTATGGGGCTTTGCAGGTGTTCTCCCCGTGTGCAGAGATAAGAGATTGTAAGAAATAAAGACACAAGACAAAGAGATAAAGAGAAAACAGCTGGGCCCGGAGGACCACAACCATCAAGACGCGGAGACCGGTAGTGGCCCATAACGGCTGGGCGCGCTGATACTTATTGCATACAAGATAAGGGGGCAGGGTAAGCAGGGTGAATCTTCGAAGTGATTGACAAGGTGAAGCAAGTCGTGTGATCACAGGAGAGGGGGCCCTTCCCTCTTAGGTAGCCGAAGCAGAGAGAGAGGGAGAAGGCAGCATACGTCAGCGTTTTCTTCCATGCACTTATAAGAAAGATCAAAGACTTTAAGACTTTCACTATTTCTTCTACCGCTATCTACTATGAACTTCAAAGAGGAGCCAGGAGTACGGGAGGAGCATGAAAGTGGACAAGGAGTGTGAGCACTGAAGCACAGCACCACAGGGAGGGGTTTAGGCCTCCGGATGACTGCGGGCAGGCCTGGATAATATCCAGCCTTCCACAAGAAGCTGGTGGAGCAGAGTGTTCCCTGACTCCTCCAAGGAAAGGAGACTCCCTTTCACCGTCTGCTAAGTAACGGGTGCCTTCCCAGACACTGGCGTTACCGCTTGACCAAGGACCCCTCAAGCGGCCCTGATGCACGCGTGACAGAGGGCTCACCTCTTGCCTTCTAGGTCACTTCTCACCATGTCCCTTCAGCACCTGACCCTATACCCGCCGGTTATTCCTAGGTTATATTAGTAATGCAGCAAAGAGTAATATTAAAAGCTAATGATTAATAATGTTTATAATAATGATTGATAATTGTCCATGATCATCTCTACATCTAATTTGTATTATGACTATTCTTATTCTATTTTCTTTATTATACTGCAACAGTTTGTGCCTTCAGTCTCTTGCCTCAGCACCTGGCTAATCCTCCACCCACACATTCCCCCATGCCGTTCTCATGGTAGTGAACAAGTCTCAGGAGAGCTGAGGTTTTTATAACGGGTTTCCCCTTTTGCTTGGCTCTCTCATTTCTCTGTCGTCTGCCACCATGTAAGATGTGCCTTTCACCTTCTGCCATGATTGTGAGGCCTCCCCAGCCATGTGGAACTGTAAGTCCGTTATACCTCTTTTTTAAAAAGTAAACTGACTGGGCGCAGTGGCTCACGCCTGTAATCCCAGCACTCTGGGAGGCCGAGGCGGGTGGATCATGAGGTCAGGAGATCGAGACCATCCTGGATAACACAGTGAAACCCCGTCTCTACTAAAAATACAAAAAATTAGCCGGGCGCGGTGGCGGGCGCCTGTAGTCCCAGCTACTCAGGAGGCTGAGGCAGGAGAATGGTGTGACCCCGGGAGGCGGAGCTTGCAGTGAGCGGAGATCGTGCCACTGCACTCCAGCCTGGGTGACAGAGTGCGTCTCAAAAAAATAAATAAATAAAAATAAAAATAAAAATAAATTACTCAGTCTCAGGTATGTCTTTATCAGCAGTGTGAAAACAGACTAACGCAAACTTCTTCGCTCCCCCTCCCCTCACTACACAGTCCCAGGTTGCAGTGTGGAGGCCACATAGGGAGTAGCAAGGTGGGGAGGAGTGTCTCTTTGTTTTCTTGCCACAGAGAGTCATTCTTTTTTAAGCTTGGGAGTTCTTGGTGGCCATCTGTCTCGCCATGTGGAGGAAGCCAGTCTTTATGGAGAAACACAAAGATGACTCAGGGAGCATCCGGGAAGCGGGAGTGAGTAACAGTGCTTTCAGCTTTTGTTTTCTTGGTTCTAATTGCTTCCAAAGCTCAGCATTCCTTCACTCCCTGCAGTTTTCTTGCCCAATCCTTCTTGAACCAAAAAAACCCAAAAAGTCCTCCTTTGATTCTAAGCTATTCTGAGAATGGATTTTGTTTTGATTGAAGGGTCCTGGCAAACATTATTAAAATGGGTGGCCCTAATGGATATCCTTTATGGACATCTATGCTGGTAGTCACACTCACTGAATTACCATAGTGAGGACTCAGCTCTGATTTTTTTTTTTTATCTTGCCCAGATTCTTATCTAAGGGGTCTGGGGTCTCATGCCCTACAAACCATAAATTCTCATCAGATGGGTTTTATTTAGCCCTATATATCGTGACTTACTTTCCAATCTGACTCTGGCATAACATTACCTAACAAAGAAGAAAATAAAAATATTTTACCCCAAAACATGTTTCTTTGCCATATTTTTAAATGGCCCTGCAAAGCTGTCCTTGGTGGGGGGGAATATTTGCATATGTAAAGGATCTCTGTTAACATTGCTAGATCTTTTTCCTCCAGGACCTCCCAATCCTGAGGAGGTTAACTGAGAATCTAGCAACTTTTGAAGGTCTGAGTAGGAAACATTTGTCATCTATTGTCTCTAAGGGCAGCCACTATAAGACTTCAAAAGAACCTTGGTCTCCACAATCTTTTATCTTAACCTGAATATTTCCTCTCTATTAATCCCAGGTCTTTAGACAAACTCAACCAATTGTCAACCAGAAAATGTTTTAATTTACCTAAAGCCTGGAAGGCCCTGCCTCCTTCAAATTGTCCAGCCTTTCTGGACCAAACCAATGTATTTCTCAAATGTGTTTGATTGATGCCTCACGCCTCCCTAAAATGTATAAAACCAAGCTGCCCCCCGACCACCTTGGGTACATGGTCTCAGGACCTCCTTAGGGCTGTGTCAGGGGCCATGGTCATTATCATATTTGGCTCAGAATAAATCTCTTCAAATATTTTATAGAGTTTGACTCTTTTTGTCAACAAGAGTAAGTCTTGATATGTGATACGATCTGAGGGAGGCTCGGATCCACAGCTGGGGTTTGGACAGCTGTAGCATCACCCTGGGAGCTCCCGCCCCAACTCGGAAGGGGCAGGGCTCCCTGCGGCTCCATAGCGTGTATAGCCCGGGCTGGGCCTCCCTGGGGCAGGTGGCGTCATGGCAGCAGCAAGCCGTCTGGAGTGGCTGCTGCCATCACCAAAGGCCCAACCTCTCAGATCACATTGGGTGTCAAGATTTAACATGAGGCCGGGCGCGGTGGCTCACGCCTGTAATCCCAGCACTTTGGGAGGCCGAGGTGGGTGGATCATGAGGTCAGGAGATCGAGACCATCCTGGCTAACATATCTCTACTATAAATACAAAAAATTAGCCAGGTGTGGTGGCGGGTGCCTGTAGTCTCAGCTACTCGGGAGGCTGAGGCAGGAAAATGGCATGAACCTGGGAGGCGGAGCTTGCAGTGAGCCGAGATCCATCATTGCACTCCAGCCTGGGTGACAGAGCAAGACTCTGTCTCAAAAAAAAAAAAAAAAAAAAAGATTTAATATGTGGCCAGGCGCGGTAGCTCACACCTGTAATCCCAACACTTTGGGAGGTCAAAGTGGGAGGATCATGGGGTCAAGAGATCGAGACCATCCTGGCCAATATGGTGAAACCCTGCCTCTACTAAAAATACAAAAATTAGCTGGGAATAGTGGCACACGCCTGTAGTCCCTGCTACTCAGGAGGCTGAGGCAGGAGAATTGCTTGAACCCAGGAGGCAGAGGTTGCAGTGAGCCGAGATCACACCATTGCACTCCAGCCTGGGCGACAGAGGGAAACTCTGTCTCAGAAAAAAAAATAGAAAAGATCTAACATATGAATCTGTGGAAAGCACCGCCATGCAGCACAGGCCCAGGATTTGAAGTAAACTGAAGAGGCTCAACACATGTGGAGGTGGCTTTGTAAATAACTTCAGGAAACTAACTGAGGGTCATGTACCAGCAGGAGCAACTTCATAAAGGGGCCATGGAGAACCTGAGTTCCTTGCTGTTAAAAAGGAATATATAAATCCTGTTAGTTCAGAGAAAGCACAGATCATCAGTCTGATGAGGATAGGGCTTAATTATGGGCTGAATTACATCTCCTCAAAATTCGTGTGCTGAATCCTAACTCCCAGTAACTCAGAATGTGACTGTATTTAGAGACAAGAGGCCGTTGTGAAAAAAGGAAATTTGGACATAAAAAAGACACTAGGGGCTACGTGTGGTGGCTCACGCCTGTAATTTCAGCACTTTGGGAAGCCCAGGTGGGCGGATCGCCTGAGGTCAGGAGTTCAAGACCAGCCTGGCCAACATGGCCAAACCCCATGTCTACTAAAAATACAAAAATTAGCTGGGCGCGGTGGTGCACGCCTGTAATCCCAGCTACTCGATAGGCTGAGGCAGGGGAATCGCTTGAATCCAGGAGGCAGAGGCTGCAGTGAGCTGAGATCGTGTCATTGCACTCCAGCTGGGCAACAGAGTAAGACTCCAACTCAAAAAAAAAAAAAAGAAAAGGACACCAGGATATGTACATCCAGAGGAAAGACCACGTGGAGACACAGCAAGAAGGCGGCCATCTGCATACAAAGCAGAGAGACCCCGGGAGAAACTGACCCTACTGGCACCTCCATCTTGGATTTCCAGCCTGCAGAACGGTGAGAAAATCCATTTCTGTCCCATAAGCCCCCCAGTGGGGGGCATTTTGTTATGGCTTCCCTAGCACACAACTGTAGGTGGTAAACATATTTTAAACATTATAGTGATCATTTGTAAAAAAAAAAAAAAAAAAAAATTCAAAGAAATATATTTTCTACAGCTTCTCTTTATGATACCCTATGTTCCAAAGGCTACCTATTGTATTTTCTAGAAGACTATAAGAATTTTTCACACATGCTGGGGCCTGTCAGAGGGTGGAGGGTGGTAGCAGAGAGAGGATCAGGAAAAATAACTAGTGGGTACTAGGCTTAATAACTGGGTGATAAAATAATCTGATAATCAGGAAGTAGTAAATACACTAGAAAAAAAATAATCTGTACAACAAACCCCCATGACACACGTTTACCCGTGTAACAAACCTGCACATCCTGCCCATGTACCCCTGAACTTAAATGTCAAAAAAAAAAAAAGAATTTTTCTAGTATCATGCCAGGCTCTGTGGTTCATGCCTGTAATCCCAGCACTTTGGGAGGCTGAGGCAAGTTGATTGCTTGAGCATAGGAGTTCGAGACCAGCCTGGGGAAAATGGTAAAACCCTGTCTATACTAAAAATACAAAAATTAGCTGAGCATGGTGGTGCATGCTTGTAGTCCGGGCTACTCTAGAGGCTGAGGCAGGAGGATCGCTGGAGCCCAGGAGGTGGAGGCTGCAGTGAGCCATCATTGCACCACTGCACTCCAGCCTGGGTGACAGAGTGAGACCCTGTCTCAAAAAAAAAAAAATCAATTTTTCTAGTGCTATACATTTAATTTTTTTTTCTGTTATGAACATTAGGTTTCTTTGCCTTATTGTTTCAAATTCTTTGGAAGCATTGTTCAATCAATCACATGAGCACAATAGTTGGTACAAAACAGTCATTATTTTGAAAGACCATCACCTGATATGAACAGTTCATTCATAAACTTGAGCCTTTTTTTGTTTTTGTTTTTGTTTTTGAGACAGAATCTTGCTCTGTTGCCCAGGCTGGCGTTCAGTGGCACGATCTCTGGTCACTGCAACCTCCACCTCCCAGGCTCAAGTGATTCTCCTGCCTCAGCCTCCCAAGTAGCTGGGATTACAGGTGCCTGCCACCACGTCCAGCTAATTATTTATTTATTTAATTTATTTTTTGAGACGGAGTTTCACTCTTGTCACCCAGGCTGGAGTGCAGTGGCACGATCTTGGCTCACTGAAACCTCCACCTCCTGGGTTCAAGCAATTCTCCTGCCTTAGCCTCCTGAGTAGCTGGGATTACAGGCGCCCACCACCATGCCGGGCTAATTTTTGTATTTTTCGTAGAGACGGGGTTTCACCATGTTAGCCAGGCTGGTCTCAATCTCCCAGCCTCAGGTGATCTGCCTGCCTCAGCTTCCCAAAGCACTGGGATTACAGGTGTGAGCCACCGTGCCTGGCTGAGTTTGTTTTGTTTTAAAGACCTCAGGGATGTACCTCTAATTGACACTACATCACATTAATCAATAGCTGCACTTTTTGCAAACTGTGGCTATGACAGTCCTGAACAAGAAGGGTTTCCTGCTTAAGCTGCAGTAACTTTTCTGACTATGGATCATTGTTCCTTCTGTGGCAGATTTTTACACCTCCTCTAATGCATTTGGGATGACTGTCTCCAAGTAACCTGCAGCTTTCCTCACTGTCTCTCCTGCTAAGAACTGTTGCCCTTTTCTGCTGTTTTTAGAACCTTCTGTTTTCATATCCACCAGTTCCACGGCCAGATCTATAACGACCACCAGAGGGACTGCCTGAGCTTCTTCCACCAAAACTGCCCCGCATAAACTTGAGCTTTTAAGCGGCATTATATATAAGCCCTATACGAGTTTAACTTGATCTTGTTAAGGTAAACAATCTGTTCAGTCTCACTTTCTTTTTGCATTGATAATTTTAATAATGTCTGATCATTTACTTTCTAAAATCACAAATGCAGTAGCAAGTTTTGGCCAGTTTCATTTTCTTAACTTTTCTCCTCCACATGGGACATGCTACGGGAAGAGGCTTAGAATCGTGGAAAGAGGAGAGTCATCTGCTTTCAGTGCTGGATACAAGGGCAGGTTGTGTGACCTTGGGAACACGTGTTAAAATCTCCAGAACTGCATGTGCCTTTCCTCATCGTGAAGACACAGATCTCGAATAGGGTTGTTGTAGATAGTATGACCAACTGTTACCGTTTTACCAGGATTGGTGTGTGCAGGGGCGTGTGTGTGTGTCTTAGGATGTGGGACTTTCGGTTTTAAAATAGAAATGAGGAATTTCCCAGGACACAGAAATTTCAGGGCTAAACCAGAGAAAATCCTGGGCGAACCGGAACAATTTGGTTGCCCTAGTTGTAAGCACGTGAGTTGCAAAGATGTAGGTGTGATTATTCCCTTGATTCAGTAAACAATTTTTTTCTTTTTTCCCATTGCCCTATCAACCCAACTCCTAGGTCTAATTCTTTACCTGTGCCCTTGGGTGACATGTAAAGCAAGTCTCATAACTTTTTTTTTTTTTGAGACAGTCTTGCTCTGTTGCCCAGCCTGGAGTGCTATGGTGCAGTCATGGTTCACTGCAACCTCTGCCTCCCAGGTTCAAGTGATTCTCCTGCCTCAGCCTCCCGAGCAGCTGGGATTACAAGCATGTGCTACCACGCCCAGCTAATTTTTGTATTTTTAGTAGAGACAGGGTTTCGCCATGTTGGCCAGGCTGGTCTCGAACTCCTGACCTTAAGTGATCCGCCCACCTTGGCCTCCCAAAGTGCTAGGATTACAGGTGTGAGCCACTGCGCCCGGCCTTCTCATAATTTTTATAGTCATCTTAGGTCATAAAGACTTCCAGCTGCTTCTTAAAAAAGTCACATACAAGAAAAAAATACAGTGTCAGCTCAGTGATTAAAATCCTTTCGGCAGGTTGCCTGCAACGTGGAGGAAGCGTGGTCAGCTTTTCCTTTATCTCCCCACGTGGAGCTTCTCCTGCTTCCCCCACTCTCTTGCAAGGCTGCAGACCTCTCACCTGCAGTTCCCTTGATGCCTGTAAATGCAGCTCCTCCACTTGGTCACATTACTGAATCCTTGGGGATCCGTCAGTACATTTCCAGCTTCTCTCTGCAGACTTCACCTCCTACCTCCAGGTGGCGCTCCTGCAAAGGATAAAAGCTCCTGGTACATTCATTCTCATATTCATTCTCTCTCCCCCCTCTCCCCCCCTCCCCCATTTCTCCCCTCTCCCCTCTCTCCCCTCCCACCCTCTCTCTCTCCTCCCACCCTCTCTCTCCAGTGAGGAAAGACCCTGTGTTAGCCCGTTCTCACACTGCTATAAATAGCCGAGGCCGTGTGTGGTGGCTCACACCTGTAATCTTAGCACTTTGGGAGGCTGAGGTGGGCGGATCACTTGAGGTTAGGAGTTCGAGACTAGCCTGGTCAACATGGTGAACGCCACCTCTACTAAAAATACAAAATTAGCCGGCTATTGGCGCATGCCTGTTGTCCCAGTTACTCGGTAGGCTGAGGCAGGAGAATCGCTTGAACCCAGGAGGCGGAGGTTGCAGTGAGCTGAGATTGCACCACTGCACACCAGCCTGGATGACAGGGGGGCTCAGTCTCAAAAAAAAAAGAAAGAGATTTAATTGACTTACAATTCCACATGGCTAGGGTGGCCTCAGGAAACTACAGTCATGGCAGAAGGGGAAGGAGAAGCAAATATCTTCTTCACAAGGCAACAAGAGAGAGAGAAGAGCAAGCAAAGGAGGAACTTGCCAAACGCTTATAAAACCATCAGATCTCCTGAGAACTCACTTTATCATGAGAACAACAAGGTAGAAGCCACCTCCATGATTCAATCACCTCCCACCAGGTTCCTCCCCCAACACCTGGGGATTACAATTCAAGATGAGATTTGGGTGGGGACATAAAGCCAAACCATATCAGACCCCATTCCTCTCTGGACCCGCCCCTCACCCCATATAACTACTCTGAATTGTCCAGTTGAAGAGACTGTCATCCTCCATCACACATCTACGGTGGACAGAGGATGGGACTCACAGCACACCAACAGCTTACGTAAACAAACACACAGAAACAAAACAAAACAAAAACTCTTCTAATCTCTGGAGACTATTATTCTAAGTGAAGTAACTCAGGAATGGAAAACCAAACATCATATGTTCTCACTGATATGTGGGAGCTAAACTATGAGGATGCAAAGGCATAAGAATGATACAATGGACTTTGGGGACTTGGGGGGAAAGGTGAGAGGGGGGCGAGGGATAAAAGACTATAAATGGGGTGCAGTGTATACTGCTTGGGTGATGGCTACACCACAATCTCACAAAGCACCACTAAAGAACTTACTCATGCAACCAAACACCACCTGTATCCCAATAGGAAAAAAAATACCTTCTAATCTCAACACTCCTTTCTTTTTTTTTTCTTTTTTTAATTTTTATTTATTTATTTATTTTTATTTTATTTTATTATTATTATACTTTAAGTTTTAGGGTACATGTGCACAATGTGCAGGTTAGTTACATATGTATACATGTGCCATGCTGGTGTGCTGCACCCACTAACTCGTCATTTAGCATTAGGTATATCTCCTAATGCTATCCCTCCCCCTTCCCCCCAACACTCCTTTCTTACCTTCAGGTGGACAAGAGGCCAAGGGTGTGGGGAAATTAGGTTTTCAGCATTTTCTCCTGAAGTCATGCAGAAATGGCCTTACTGTGAGATCTGACCTCGCTGGCATCTATAATCTTTGGGCCTGAGCAGAAACTGAGATTGCAATGAATCTACTTTGACATTCTGTTATATACATGTGCAAAAACCTTGGGAATACTGGGTATGAGCAGTTTGGAAGGAGAATGGATGGTAGGAATTCATTTTCATAAAAAAAAAAAAAGCTCATGAATAAGTGCACAAGAAAATGTAAGATCAGCCGGGCACAGTGGCTCACACCCGTAATCCCAGCACTTTGGGAGGCCGAGGCAGGCAGATCACCGGAGGTCAGGAATTGGAGACCAACCTGACCAACACAGAGAAACCCTGTCTCTACTAAAAATACAAAATTAGCCGGGCGTGGTGGTGCATGCCTGTAATCTCAGCTAATGGGGAGGCTGAGGCAGGAGAATCACTTGAATCCGGGAGGTGGAGGTTGTGTTGAGCTGAGATCGCACCACTGTACTCCAGCCTGGGCATCTCTAAAATATAAAAATTAGCCAGGCTTGGTGGCGGGCGCCTGTAATCCCAGCTGCTCAGGAGGCTGAGGCAGGAGAATCGCTTGAATCTGCGGGGTGGAGGTTGCTGTGAGCCAAGATGGTGCCACTTCATTGCAGCCTGGGCGAAAGAGTGAGACTCTGTCTCAAAAAAAAAAAAAAAAAAAAAGAGAACCCAGACCTGGAGTGGTGTCTCACGCCTGTAATCCCAGTATGGTGTCTCACTGCAGCCTTGACCTCCTAAGCTCAAGTGATCCTCCCGCCTCAGCTTCCTGAGAAGCTGGACGCACAGGCAAATGCTAATTTTTAAAAACTTTTTTGTAGAGATGGGATTTTGCCATGTTGCCCAGGCTGGTCTTGAACACCTGGGCTCAAGAGATCCTTCTGCCTCAGACTCCCAAAGTGCTGGGATTATAGGCGTGAGCTGCCACACCTGGCCTCCAGAACTATTTTAAAATAAAAAGTTAAGCCAGGTGAGGTGGCTCGCTCCTGTAATGCCAGCACTTTGGGAGGCTGAGGTGGGCAGATCACTTGAGGTCAGGAGTTTGAGACCAGCCTGGCCAACATGGTGAAGCCCTGTCTCTACGGAAAATACAAAAATTAGCTGGGCATAGTAGCAGGTGCCTGTAGCCCCAGCTACTCGGGAGGCTGAGGCAGGAGAATTGCTTGAACCCAGGAGGTGGAGGTTGCAGTGAGCCGAGATCGCGCCACTGCACTCCAGCCTGGGCGACAAGAGCAAGACTCTGTCTCAAATAAATAAATAAAAAGTTAATTTTTTGGAAAGGATGAGATAAAAAGCAGACGAAGGGCATAGAAAGGCCCTTCCAACGCGGCCCTCTCCAACATGAGGAAGCCTCCCACGAGATTTCCACTCACATCTCAAGAAACACAATTGCATCCAGCCCCTTCCTTAAATAACCACTAGCAGTGGGCGTGAGTTTACCTAACTGGGCTAAAGGTGTTTAAACTTCAGTGTGCATCAGAATCACCTGGAGGACTTGTCAAACCATAGGTTGGAGAGGAGGAGAAAGGAAAAGCTCACCTTCAGAGTTTCTGACTGATTCAGTAGGTCTGGGGTGGGGCTCAAGAATTTGCCTTTCTGACGAGCTCCCAGGTGATGCTGACGCTGCTGGTTCAGGGACCACACTTTCACAACCAGCACGTCACTAAGCCTTAGACTAATCAAGATTCATGCCTGAAACTAGAAAAGGGCCAAGTCTCCAAGGAACAAGGGTGGCCAACTGACACCTGAACAAAATCAGGGTTCTCGGCTGGGTGCGGTGGCTCAGGCCTGTAATCCCAGCACTTTGGGAGGCTGAGGTGGGCGAATCACGAGGTCAGGAGTTTGAGACCAGCCTGACCAACATGGTGAAACCCCGTCTCTACTAAAAATTCAAAAATTAGCTGGGTGTGGTGGCGAGCACCTGTAATCCAGCTACTGGGGAGGCTGAGGCAGGAGAATCACTTGAATCTGGGAGGTGGAGTTTGCAGTGAGCTGAGATTGCACCACTGCACTCTAGCCTGGGCGACAGAGCAAGACTGCATCTCAAGAAACAAAAACAAAAACAAAATCAGGATTCTCTTAGCAGAGAAGATTTTGGATTTTGAGAAACACCTGTCCCTTATATCGTACGATGACTTTTCTCTTATTTTTTCTGATCTTAATATAATTATATCAGCTTCCTGGAGAAGTTCCTCCACCACATTTTCTTACTTGTTCATTTTTCTTCAGCTGTATCAATTCTGCCTTTTTTTTTTTTTTTTTTAAAGAGACACGGTCTCACCATGTTGCCCAGACTGGTCTCGAACTCCTGGTCTCAAGTGATCATCCCACCTCAGCCTCTCAAAGTGCTGGGATTACAGGCGTGAGCCACGGCACCCACCCTACTGCCTATTCTGTTAGAGGATAATGTTATATATTTTTTACCATCATGTATTTTTATACTTTTTATTTCCATAAGCCTCTTGCTTTATGGAAAATTGTTCTTGTTTCATATTGCTAATATGTGTCCTTTTTTAGTATGTTTCTTTTTTTTTCTTTTTATTTTTTGAGACAGGGTCTTGCACTGTCACACAGACTGGAGTGCAGTGGCACAATCATAGCTCACTGCAGCCTTGACCTCCCAGGCTCAAGCAATCCTCCTGCCTCAGCCTCCCAAGTAGCTGGGGCCACAGGTGTGCACCACCACACTGGGCTAATTTTTTTTTTTTTTTTTTTGTAGAGATGGGAATCTCACTATGTTGCCCAGGCTGGCTTTGTTAAGAAGTACATTTCTTATGCTAATTATAAATTCTTGATCTATCTGACACCTCCTCCCCCGAAAAAAACACTCTCATTGCTTCACCACACCAAGCAACTGACA